>NT_187538.1:0-113034 GCF_000001405.40 Homo sapiens
GAATTCTATATTGGCCCTGGCTTTCTTTCTGGGGGCGTTTCTGAGTCACAGTATGGGGAGATGAAGCTTACACAGAGCAACACATTCTTGCTGAGCTCAAGAGGCAGAAATTGGAGTTTGGTGCTGCCGAATTGGCTGGAATTTGCAGGGCAATACAACAGAAAGGAGGATCTGCATGGGGGTGAGGGTGCTTCCAGTCTACTTTGGGTTTCTCCAATGACCTTTGGCTGAGGGCTTGGCTGAGCACATGCCAGCAAGACACCGTGAAGTCTAGAAGAAGGCTGCTAAGAGCTGGATAGGGCTCAGAGCTGGATGGGAATGCCAGAGGTGGCACAGTGTTGGGAGTTCCGGCCAATCCATAGTTAGGAGTAAGGACCATGTTCTGTCTAGAGTAAGGACCAATTCCTAAGACTAAGGACAAAACCAAAACAGACCAAGCCTGCGGGATCAATAAGATCCACTGGTAATTTAACCACCTACCAGAATAAAAGGGGCAGAGTCAAAGTCAGTAAATTAAAGAACAGACTTTTCCAGTGCAAAAGCTGTGCCTAACGAAGAGCTGCAACTGTGGTTACTTGCACGTGGTAGCAACACAGAACCTACTAACTTTTGGAAGAAATTTTATTGCCAAAGAAACCATGGATATGGCTGGGCATGGTGGCTCATGCCTGTAATCCCAGCACTTTGGGAGGCTGAGGTGGGTGGATCCCCTGAGGTCGGGAGTTCGAGACCAGCCTGCCAACATGATGAAACCCTGTCTCTACTAAAAATACAAAAATTAGCAGGGCATGGTGGCGGGTGCCTGTAATCCCAGCTATTTGGGAGGCCGAGGCAGGAGGATGGCTTGAACCTGCGAGAAAGAGTTTGCAGTGAGCGGAGACCACACCATTGCACTGCAGCCTGGACAACAAGAGCAAAACTCCGTCTCAAAAAAAAAAAAAAGAAAAAGAAAAAGAAAAAAAGAAACCACAGATATGGTCTACAAAAGCCTGGGATGGTTTTGACTCCTAAAGTAACTCTAGGGTCCCCAGACAGCACAGGCTGAAAGAGGTTGTGGAACCTATGAGCTCCCCCTTCCTCAAAGGATATAGTCTCCAGTGCCCACTTGAGATGTGGCCAGAAAAAACAACTGACAGAGAATAACCTCCCAGAAAACAAGCCCGTCCTCTCTGGGGCCAGTGGACAAGGGACTTGCTCCCAGACAGCGATGCCAGTGGTGACTCCATGCAAGGGAAGGGAGTCTTTGTAGGATCTCATTATCGCTATGAACCAGTGACTAATGCATGTTTTCCGTTCTTCCCTTTTCTGAAAGTTTTTATTAGTTATCCTGTTCCTTCTCCCCCAGCGCATACTGGGTTTATATGTCATAAGAAGCAAGAGAAGTAACTTTTCTTTTGGTTTATAGGTCAGCAGAGAGAGAGTCACATCTGGACCTTTGGGAGAGGATCCAGAGAGTCTGCACTTTGCACAGATGCCATCACTGTAGACCTGTCTTCCTTGGGGAGGAGCAAGTGTGTTCTGTGAGTGAGACAGACGGACATTTGGGTGGCTGCCCAGGCTCCTTTCCAGCTGGATGTAGCAAAGTTACCTAGTTCTAGACAATGGAATGGGAGCATATGTGATGTGTGCTACTTCCGGGTCATGCTCTTAAAGGGAATCGGGAGGAGTTTGTCTTGATTTATTGTTTTCCCTCTTCCCACCAGCTAGAATCCAAACATAATGATAGGAGCTACAGCAGGTATCTTAGAGCACGAGCTAGAAGTCCCACGTTGCGAAAAGCACATAGAGCTTCAGTCCCTGACCCCATCCAGCTGCCATGCCTAGTCTGCATTGCCCACCACCTGGCCTGTTTTTTGTTTTTTTGTTTTTTTGTTTTTGAGACACAGTCTCACTCTGTCATCCAGGCTGGAGTGCAGTGCTGCGATCTCGGCTCACTGCAACCTCCATCTCCTGGGTTCAAGCGATTCTCGTGCCTCAGCCTCCAGAGTAGCTGGTGGGATTACAGGCATGCGCCACCATGCCTGGCTAATTTTTGTATTTTTAGTAGAGAGGGGGTTTTGCCATGTTGGCCAGGCTGGTCTCGAACCCCTGACCTCAAGTGATCTGCCTGCCCCGGCCTCCCAAAGTTCTGGGATTACAAGTGTGAGCTACTGCGCCCAGCCCACCTGCACTTTTATCTGAGAGAGAAACCAGCTCCTATTTTTTAAGCCACCATCTTCAAGATCTTTTTGTTGCGGCTACCCGACCCATGATCTCAGCTCATCCTCCTCCTGCTGCTTATTCTCTGAGATGGCATTTGGGGTGTGGGAGGTGGGTCTTAGCTGGTCTAGTGGTGAAGGTGAAGAACAGGCCTCAGTTCCTGAGCACAGATTCATGTGCTGCCCTATACCTCCTCTGATTTCTGTAGCCAGTTTCATGTTGACCCCATCACAGGGCATGAATCTCGCTGACATCTGTTGCTTACGTTGATAGCTGAGAAACTCTAGCTCCTCCGAGTCCAGGGGTCCTTTCAATTGATTCTTCTCCACTTTGGTCCTACTACTGTGCTTGATCCCCCTCAGGGAACTTCCATTAGGCTCCCAGCCTGAGTGACCACCCAGCCGTCAACTATAGGGTCACCTCTCCTCACAGAAGCTCTTCCCCTGCAAGAGTATCCAGGAAATTCTCGACACTTTTCATGCCAATGAATGGGCAGCTAATTGTTGGTCTTGTCTCTGCCTAATAGGCAGACAGATTGATACAGGGCAGGTACCTGGTGAGGCTTCTCTTCCCAGAAGCCCAAATTGAAACAGAGTCAGAGGCTTCTCTTCTGCTTTCGGTGTTTCTTTCAATCTGCCTGTGTCTAGAACTGGGGCTGTCAGGACACATCTCTCACAACTGCTTCTCCCTGCTCCATCTTCCTCTTCCCCCTTCCATCTTCCTCCTCCCCCCTCCATCTTCCTCCTCCCCCCTCCATCTTCCTCCTCCCCCTACAACCCTCCCAGGGAAGGGGGGGCATTTTTCCACTTCCTCTTGATAGCGCATCTCCCATGTGGACTTTCATGATTAAATCTACCAAGGTTGGCCAGGTGCGGCGGCTCACGCCTGTAATCCCAGCACTTTGGGAGGCTGAGGCGGGCAGATCACCTGAAGTCAGGAGTTCCAGACCAGCCTGACCCACATAGCGAAACCGCATCTCTACTAAAATAAAAATTAGCCAGGCATGGTGGCGCATGCCTGTAATCCCAGCTACTCGGGAGGCTGAGGCAGGAGAATTGCTTGAACGTGGGTGGCAGAAGTTGCAGTGAATTAATGGGTGCAGCACACCAACATGGCACATGTATACATATGTAACAAACCTGCACGTTGTGCACATGTACCCTAGAACTTAAAGTATAATTAAAAAAAAAAAAAGAAGTTGCAGTGAGCCGGGATCACTCCATTGCACTCCAGCCTGGGCGACAGAGTGAGACTCTGTCTCAAAAAAAAAGTCCACCAAGGTTGAGCCTTGATCTATTAGAGGACGAGCTTCAGGATAAAATCAAAATCATTCCTTTTCTTTTTTCCATAAAGGCTTGCATTTGAGCCTCTGGTCTTGCTAAATGGGTTAAGGAAAGTTAAGAAAGTCTCTCAAGGGTGCCTCTGTCCCAGGCAGTACCTGCCCTTCTTTCCCTGGGCAATGAGCTTCATGGCTCAGCCTTGGGGAGGAGAAGCTGAAAGAGTGTGATTTACAGGGAAAATAAAAATATGTGGATTTAATATTTTTCCTCTTGCATATTTTATCTCAGTTTGGCACTTGTATTTTTACTTTGTTTATGATGTCTTTCAAGGACAAGCTTTTTAATATTTATGGTGTCAAATCTGTCAGCTTTTCCCTAATGGCTTCTGGGTTTGGTGCCCCGCATTGGAAATCTTTCTCCACCCTAAGACCGAACATAACTTTTAATGGCTGCAAAGCATGCCATTGTGCAAATATGCAAATAAGCCCTAATTTATTTACAGATGAATATTTAGTGTGTTTCTACTGTTTAAGTCATAATAAATAATGCAGCAAACATCTCTGTAAATACATTTTATCTTCTGCAATGCACAGTTTCTTTAAGGATAGATTCTTAGGGAATCCATGGGCCTTTTTCACCATTTTAAAAGCCTTTACAACAATGAAAGAATTACCTCTTACAAAGCTGCACAGGTCAACTAAAATGTCAATTTTCTTTTGCATAGAATTGCACCTGCTCAGTGTGGTTATATTGCATTTCAGGTTGACTAAAAGCTCTGGTAGTTACAAATGACTTTGATTAATAAAAATATGAAAAATTATGAGTTAAAAAATGCCACTTGTCTGATAGACTAAAACTTTCCGAAGACCGAGGGGGAACTTAATAAAACTGTTTTCTTTCTTTCTTTCTTTCTTTTCCAGACAGGGTCTTGCTCTGTCACCCAGGCTGGAGTGTGGTGGTGTGATCACTGCACACTGCTCACTGCAGTCTTCACCTCCCAGGCTCAAGCGATCCTCCTGCCTCAGCCTCCTGAATAGCTGGGACTATAGGCACGTGCCACCATGCCCGGCTAATTTTGTATTTTTTGTAGAGACAGGGTTTTGCCATTTTTTCCAGGATGGTCTCAAGCTCCTGGGCTCAAGCGATCTACCCACCTCAGCCTCCCAAAGTGCTGGGATTACAGGCATGAGCCACCACACCCGGCCAAAAGTGTTTTGTATTGTATAGAGATGTCCAGAGAAGAAAAAGACCATTTCAGGGATAACCAGTTAATTCCCAGGAATCAGGTTCTAGATTTCTTATTCACATTATCAGCCCTTCATTTAAACAAATACAGTCAACATCACCATCATCACATCCCCACCACCATCCTCACCATCACCCACCCCATGCACCTGGCTTCACTCATAGAGAACCCATCTCTCCCCTCACTGGAGCTTGAGCTGTACAAGAGAGATTCCACCACCCCAAGCTCATACATGAGAAAACAGAGTTTCAGTGATGTGGAACTGGAAGAGTGGGCTTCTGAATTTGAAGCTAGTGTTTTATTGATAATAAGAAAGTTAAGTTTCTAAATTAAGAAATTAGGTGCTAGAGGCTCGGCGCAGTGGCTCATGCATATAATCCCAGCACTTTGGGAGGCCGAGGCAAGCGGATCACCTGAGGTCAGGAGTTCGAGACCAGCCTGGCCAATGTGGTGAAGCCCTGTCTCTACCAAATATACAAAAATTAGCTGGGCGTGGTGGCGTGCGCCTGTAATCCCAGCTACTCCGGAGGCTGAGGCAGGAGAATCGCTTGAACCTGGGAGGCAGAGGAGTATAGGGCACAGGAGGAGCAATTAATTCCAATTGAGGGAAATCTGGAAACGTCTGCCTGATTTCTCTCATTGGGGATCAGAAAACAAAATGAGCCTAAATGAAGGCCTCAGATGCAAAAGTTTTTCTCTGATCTTCTCCTGTCCTCCTGTCTCTGGCCCCTCATTCTCCCCTGCAGCTAGCCCTAGAAACTAGAATCTTTCTTCCCCAAGACAGATCATAGAAACCAGAGATGTGGCCGGGCCCAGTGGTTCACGCCTGTAATCCCAGCACTTTGAGAGGCCGAGGCATGTGGATCACCTGAGTTCAGGAGTTTGAGACCAGCCTGGCCAACATGGTGAAACCCCATCTCTACTAAAGATATGAAAAATGAGCCAGGCATGGTGTTGGGTGCCTATAATCCCAGCTACTCGGGAGGCTGAGGCAGGAGAATCACTTGAACCTGGGAGGTGGAGGTTGCAATGAGCTGAGATGGCAACACTGCACTCCAGGCTGGGCAACGGAGAGAGACTCCGTCTCAAAAGATAAAACAAAAAGAAATGATCTAACCTACTGTTTTTTTCTTGTTTGTTTGTTTTGTTTTGTTGAGACATGAGTTTCGCTCTTGTTGCCCAGGCTGGAGTGCAATGGCGCAATCTCGGCTCACTGTAATCTCTGCCTCCTGAGTTCAAGTAATTATCTTGCCTCAGCCTCCTGAGTAGCTGAAATTACAGGCATGTGCCACCACACCCGGCTAATGTTGTATTTTAGTAGAGACAGGGTTTCACTATATTGGTCAGAATGGTCTTGAACTCCTGACCTCAAGTGATCCACCCTCCTCAGCCTTCCAAAGTGCTGGTGTGGGATTACAGGTGTGAGCCACCGTGCCTGGACTACTTTGTTTGATTGTAGTTCATAGGACCCCATTCCAAAGAGGGGCCCTGCCCCATCCCCAGAAGGAAAGGTCAGGAGTTTGAGACCAGCCTGACCAATATGGTGAAACCCCGTCTCTACTAAAAAATACAGAAATAAATTAGCTGGGCGTGGTGGCGCGCACCTGTAGTCCCAGCTACTAAGGAGGCTGAGGCAGGAGAATCGCTTGAACCTGGGAGGCAGAGGTTGCAGTGCGCCGAGATCGCACCACTGCACTCCAGCCTGGCGACAGAGAGACTCCGTCTCAAAAACAAAAACAAAAAACAGCTTCTCTTGTATCTTTGGGTTGTCATTCTAAAGGCTCCCATGTCACATAAACTGTGATCAAATAAATTTGTATGCATTTTTTCCCGTTAATCTGCCTTTTGTCAGTGATTTTTAGTAAACCTTCAAAGGAGGCTTTCCCTTGACTCCTACACTCTCCTTGAAATAAGTAACTTCTACGGTTTTGCGAGAATCTTTTTTCTTACAATAGGAATGTATGTTTACTGAAGAAAATTCAGGAAATAGAGATAAGCAAAAAGTAGAAAATTTAGATCGACTAGAATCCCATCTCTTAGGGAAAAACATAGTTGGTGTTTTCTTGTTTTTTGCATCTTATTTCCTGCATATGTATATGTGTTTGTGTGTTTGTGTAAGAAACACATTTTTCAAAGAACCAAAATGGGCTCATCCCACACCTACTGGTTTTCCCTTTACCGTACAATCTAAAGCTAGCTCTACATCAATAGCAGGAGCCAGGGGGCTTGTGAGAAGAGCAGAATGTCAGGCCCGAACCGGAATCTGCATTTTCGTAAGCCCCCTAGAGGATTCCTGTGCCCCACACACTCTGGGGAGCATCGCCATTTTTAATGGCCACAGAGTCTCCCAAACAGGGCTAGACCGTGATTCACTCATTGCATCTCTCGGTGGTGAGGATTTTCCCTGTAACAAGAAGCTGGTCCCTCTGGGATCTCTGGGCTCTTCAGACCCTCCCCCTCAGTCCGTGCCCAGGAGACTCCAACAGCTGGGCAGGCGGCGTCCTTGCCCGTCCTCCACGGGCGAGATGCGCTGTCCACCTCCGCCCTCCTCTTGCTCCACCTGGCCAGAGGCCTGGGCTGCGCGCTCCCCGCGCTCCTGCGCAGGCTCTACTGGGAGCCCCTCCAGGGCGCAGTCCGGACCTGACGGGCAAGCCCTGACCTGCCTTTCATCCCGCTGATGCTCGCGCCCAGCTCCCTGTGAATACCCACTGATTGCCCCCGGAGTCTCCCCGTTAGGCCCTCCCGCACCTCTTACCCCTTCCTCCCCTTCCTGGCCTCCCCAGCTCCCTCACCCGCCTTCTAGAAGCATCCTCCCCCTTCTCACCCACCTCTCTACTCCTCCCTTCCCGACTTCCTCAATTCCCACCTCCCCCCCAAATTCCAGTCCTCTCCCTGGGAAAGAGAAAGCGGCCGGGGTCCCACCCTGGCTGTGTGTGGCCCGCGGTGGGGTGGGGCAGCCTGCCAGCCGCCAGGTAGCGCGAATGGAGCGCGGGGCGCCGCGCGCTGCGGGCGGGTGAAGCCGGAATCGGGGCGGCGGCTCGGCCCCCGGCCCCCGGCCCCGGGGAGCCCAGAGCGACTAGTCGGGCAGGAAAAGAATGACGGTGACGTGACCACTCTGACCCCGAGGACTCTCTGGGCTCTGGCGGGCGCTGGGCTCGGCGGATCTGAGTGCGTAGGAAGGGCGATGGGCGCTCAGTCCCCGAGGATCACCTGCGGGACCCTTTGGGGGCACCTGCCGGAGCAGCTGGCCCTGCGACGGGTCCCACCGCGCCCTCAGCAGCAAGGCGGTTCTCCCTTTATAGAGGTTTTACGTGCGTTTGTGGGGGGTGTTCTCAAAACAATACAAATAAGCTTCCATTGTCACCGATCAAAATAGTAAGGGCTTTTTAAAAGGAAACTGTTTAGGGCTGACAGAGCTACAGAGGAAGTGGAGTGATCCGGGCACAGTCAGGGACGGGGGAGGGGGGCGGAACTGGTCTAGCTGTTTTGGCAAAATGTAATAATACAGAGTTAGAGTCTTTGAATGCTCACACTGTTTGATATTGTGGTTCTAGTAGTGGTCATGCATCAGAAGAAATAATCCCAAATATTCCCCCAAAGCTTTTATGGACACAGACATTCTTTGCACTGAAAAATGAGAAAAAAAATTATCTAAAATTGGAATCAACTAGTTGGGCACTGATAAATACATTATGGTGTATCCACAGTTGTGATATCATTCTGTCATTGATAACATTTCTGAAAAGTTTTCGATAGTATAAGGAAATTTTCTCATTCTGTAAAAGGCACAAGGTGAGTTTGTATACACAAGATAATCACAAGTATATAAACTAAGCATAGTGGAAAGACTGGAAGAAATACATTTTAAATAGGAATGGGTGCTTTTTTTTTCTTTTGAAAAAACTTTTTTATGAACTATTTCAGATACATATCAAGGTATAGAGAAGAACTTACCCATCAATAATCATGGGGAATGGAGCAACCTCACTGCTGAAGCCCCTTAGGGACCCTCTTCACCACCTTCCTCACCCTCATCCCTGAGGTGACTTCTCACTATCTTTATTACATATGAGTGGATTCCTAAACATTATATAAGTATTTCAAACTTGACATATATGACAAAGTATTATGCACACTCCTTTGACTTGCTTTTTTAAGTCAACTTGGTGCTCTGGGGATTCATCCATGTCGACTCATGTTGATGAATCTGGCTCTGGTTCATTCAGTAAATATGACTTAATATTTCTCAAAAACGTAGAGCAGAGCCTGGCACATGGCACTACATATGTTTGTTGTTTTTTAAGAAATAAAAAATCATTTTCACTGCAGTATAGTAGACTTGTTAATATCATACTAAATGTATTGATCCATTCTCCTGCTGTGAAAATTTAGAATGTTTCCATTTTGTTCTTATTACAAACAGTGCCGCGATGAACATTCTGGTCTGTGTCTTCTTGTGCACATGTGAGTTTCTATGGAGTGCACCTAGCATTGGCCACAGACATTGCAAGGGATGCCTAACTTCAGTGCTACAAATTACTGCCCAGTCGTTCTCCAAAGCGATCTTGCCAGCAGCAGATGAGTCATTGTAGTAACACTCCCAGCCCTCAACACTGCCTCTCATCACGTCAGTTCTTTTCCAGTGTAATGGGTGTGGTTACTTCTCATGGTTTAAATTTGCATTTCCCTAATTACCATGGGGTTAGAGGTCAGGCATTTGTTCCTATGTTTATTGGTATTTTTTATACTGTAAAGTCTTGATCATAACTTTTTCCTATTTTTCTATTGGTTGTTGACATTTTCTTGTTGGTTTTTAAGAATTCTTTATAAATTTTGTATCTTAATCTTTCATCAGATGGATGAGTTGCAAATATTGTCATTCACTCCATGGCTTATCTTATAACTATTTGTGATGTCTTTCAAGACACAGAAAATTTACATCTGCACATATTCTAATTTACCTCTTTCTTTAAAGTTTGTACTTTGGTTGACATGGTTAAAGTACCTTTTCCTCTTCCAAGATATAAGTTTCCCTACACTTTCTTCTAAAAGTTTTTAAATTTTGTCGTTTTATATTTGGTCTTACATCTATCTGGATTTGATTCTTTGTAAAGGTGTGGTGGAGAGATCATCTTTCTCCTTGGATAATAATTGTCAAAGCATTTATTGGACAGCTCATCCTTTTCCAGTCATCTGCAATGCTGGCTTTGCCATAAATCAAATTTCCCAGTAAGTGGTGGTCTGTTTCTGGGTTCTCTATTTTGTTACATTGTTCTGTCCTCTAGCAATACTGCACTCTCACATACTATAACTTGATAATAAGTCTTGATTTCTGGATGAGCATGTATTCATACATTTTTTTTTCAAGACTATCTCAACTATTTGGAGTTCTCTGCATTTTCATACATATTTTAGAATTAGCTTGTCAGTTCTATAAACATTTTGTTGGGATTTTGATTTAAACAATGACTTCCTAGGTTAATTTAGGGAAACTGACATCTTCATGATATTGAGTCTTCCTATTGATAACCATGGAATATGTCTCATTTATTTAGGTCTTCTTCAAAATCCTTCAATAAAGTTTTTCATATATATCTAACATCTTTTGTTACATTTATTCCTAGATACTTGATTTCTATAAAATTTCAGCAGTCTCCAGGATTTACTTTCATAATTGGAAAACAACACCTTTACGTATGGTTTTAATTGTAAACCTTTTCAGTTATAATCCTTAAAAGTATTTAATGATTTGTATCAACATGCAGATTGGGGTCATGGGAAGATGGCCTCTACAGTGAGTTTTCTCCAGTTTGACAAAAAGTATTAGAACCTTTGGAGAAAGGAAGAAAGCAGGAGAATTTTTATGCACTTAAGAATTTACAAAGTTTATGTGTGTGTAATAGAGAGGCAAATAGAAACGGAGACAGAGAGACAGAGCGAGAATATAGGGCAATAGATTTATAAAAAATGGAAAATGACATGAGCACAGTGTAGTCACGTTAGAAAGCTGAGGCAGGAGGATCACTTAAGCCTAGGAGTTTGAGGCTGTAGTGCACCATGATGGCGCCTGTGAATAGCCACTGCACTTCAGCCTGGGTAACACAGCAAGATCCCCATCTCTTAAAAAAAAAGTACAAAGCGTACAAATGGAACTCAGCTGCCCACCTGCCCACCTCAGGTTATCGGCTCCCCCACCAGCAGGCTTCCGCTGCTTACAGGTTCTTGTGTAGCCTTCCAGAAATATTGTAGTCTCCTACAATTATGCATATGATTATATTCTCTCCAAATCTATCCCATCCATTTTTTTGACACCAATTAAAGTATAAAATACAGTTCAGCACTTTGCTTTTCCCTTTGTAATCTTCCCATGTTAGTGCATAAAGTTTAGCTCATTTTAAAAATAACTACACAGTTCATTTTCCAGTTCCCTGTTAACTTGTGTCCAGTCTTTTGCAATAACAAACAACACTGCAATCATCATTCTTATACATACAGCTTTACAACAATGGGAGCATCCCTATAGGAATGGGCAGAGAATAAATGCATGTGTAATTTTGATAGACTGCCAAATCGCTCTCTAAAAAGATTGCAACAATTTACAATTCCAACAAACGCATGAGAATTGCCTATCTGCATTGCCCTCATTCACGCTAACACTTTATATTATCAAATTTTAAAATGAAGAACTTATTTTTTCTTTAATATGCATTTTCTTAATTATGGTTGAAATAGAACCCATCTTTTTGTATGTCTTTAAGCCATTTATACATCTTTTCTTGCTGTATGCTGATTTTCTTTTGGGCTGTATTTATTCCTATGTTGATAGTAAGAGCTAACTATATATTGAGGAAATTAGCTATTTATATAACATATGAGTTGCCGTATTTTTTCTAACTTTTCATTTTTTTTTACTTTTTTTGTTTTTTCCATACAGAATTTTGCTTTAATGTATTTGCACATGTTCTATTTTTCCTTTTTTGTCTTCTGAGTTTTGTCCTTTACTTAGAAAGGCTTTCCCCACTCCAAGAGTTCTATTTTTAAAATTGTTTCATCTTTTATTATAGTACTTTACATGCATTTTTATTGTGAAATGTACATTTTTTTAAAGTTAGCATACCAGTTCTATAAAAATCTTTGTTGGGAATTTTGATTAAAACAGTAACTTCATAGAACTTGAGGATAAGCGGTAAAAAAATAATAATAATAAAAAAGAAAAAGAAAAAAAAAACCCAGTAACTTCAGGGCCAGGCACGGTAGCTCACACCTATAATCCCAGCACTTTGGGAGGCCGAGGCAGAAGGATCATTTGAGGCCAGGAGTTCAAGGCCAGTCTGTGCAACATAGCAAGGCCCCATCTCTACAAAAATTAAAAAAAAAAAAAAACTTAGCCTGGCTTGGTGGCGTTCACCTGTAGTCCCAGCTGCTCCAGAGGCTGAGGTGGGAGGGTGGCTTGAGCCCAGGAGTTTAAGGCTGCAGTGAGCCATGCTCACGCCACTGCACTCTAGTCTGGGTGACAGGGTGAGATGCTATCTCAAAAACAAACAAACCAAAAAACCAGTAACTTCATAGACTAATTTGGGGAAGTAGACAACTTTATGATATTGAGTCTTCCTATTGATAAACATGGTATATATCTCTATATAGAAAACTAGGATTTTATACATACGCATATATATATACACACATATATATGGCTTATGATAAATATAAAGTGAACAGTTGTGTAACTACAACCCAGGTAGAGAAATAAAATATTGTCGGGCCGGGCGCGGTGGCTCACGCCTGTAATCCCAGCATTTTGGGAGGCCAAGGCAGGCGGATTGCGAGGTCAGGAGATCGAGACCATCCTGGCTAACACGGTGAAACCCCGTCTCTACTAAAAATACAAAAAAAATTAGCCGGGCATGGTGGCGGGCGCCTGTAGTCTCAGCTACTCAGGAGGCTGAGGCAGGAGAATGGCGTGAACCCAGGAGGTGGAGGTTGTGGTGAGCCGAGATCGCGCCACTGAACTCCAGCCTGGGCGACAGAGCGAGACTCCGTCTCAAAAAAAAAAAAAAACCATTGTCAACACCTTAGAACTGCTCCTCCTGCTCCATTGTGCCCCTTATAGACAATAATCTCCCTCCCCACCAGGGAGGGATTTCTAATTTCTGAAATGCCTGATTTCTGTAATAAACAGTATATGTATATCTCTAAACAATATATCTTAGTTTAAAAAAATATATTATTCAAATAGAATGAGGCTGGGTGTGGTGGCTCACGTCTGTAATCCCAGCACTTTGGGAGGCCGAGGCCGGCAGATCACCTGAGGTCAGGAGTTAGAGACCAGCCTGGCCAACATGGTGAAACCCCGTCTCTACTAAAAATACAAAAATTAGCCAGGCATGGTGGTGCACACTTGTAGTCCCAGCTGCTTGGGAGGCTGAGGCCCGAGAATAGCTTGAACCCAGGAGGCAGAGACTTCAGTGAGCTAAGATCGCACCACTGCACTCCAGCCTGGGCAACAGAACGAGATCCGTCTCAAAAAAAAAAAAAAAAAAAAGAATGAGATGATGCTGTATTTGTTTTAATCCTTTGCTCCTTTCTCTCTGTATTATGTTTGTGGGATTATTTCCTGTTGTTACACGTGGCAATAATAGTGAGCTACAAATCAGTGCTATATTTGGTATATCAACCTTGGAGCCAGCATTCTTGTTAAATCCATTCATTAAATTAAACATATTATCTTTAGATTGTTCTAGAATGTTTACATACACAGTCACACTGCCTACAGCTAATGATAGTTTTATTTCCTTCTTTTAAATAATACAATTTTTATTTTATTTTATATATATATTTTTTGAGATGGAGTCTCTCTCTGTCCCCCAGGCTGGAGTGCAGTGGTGCAATCTCAGCTTACTGCAAGCTCCGCCTCCAGGGTTCACGCCATTCTTCTGCCTCAGCCTGTGGAGTAGCTGGGACTACAGGCGCCTGCCACCATGCCTGGCTACTTTTTTATATTTTTAGTGGAGACAGGGTTTCACCGTGTTGGCCAGGATGGTCTCAATCTCCTGACCTCGTGATCCACCCGCCTCAGCCTCCCAAAGTGCTGGGATTACAGATGTGAGCCACCGTGCCCGGCCTAAATAATATAATTTTTTATGTCTTTGTTTTGCCTTCTCTCACCGGCTTCGATATACAATAATATGTTAAGTGGAAATAGTGAAATTGAGCATCCTTGCCTCATTCCTGACCTAAAGGTGAAAAGTTTCAGCATTGTACCATTAATTATGATGTTTGTGATAAGTTTTTTTTGTAGGTAACCTTACTGTATTAAGGAAGTTTCCTTATATTACTAGCTTGATAGGAGGTTTTTGTTTGTTTGTTTGTTTTTGTTTTGTTTTGTTTTGCCACAGCCCTAGGGTCTAAGGGATGATAGACTAATAACTACAGATATTAAGAGAAAGGACAGGGACCTATGAATCTTATACACAGGTAAAAGACCACTTACCTGTCAAGTAAAAGAAAGATGCCAAGAATAACCAAATAAGAAATGAATCTAGAGACTTCAACAAAAGGAAATATGAGAAAGAAAGGGAGACAGTTACTGAGAAATGATGTTTGCATTATATATTGTTAGATTTAAATGGATGAGAATAGTGCGAAAATTTGTAATATGAGTGTGAAGTAAGAACGGTTTTATCATAAGGGACAAACTTAATATTAGTTATAAGTCAGGAACACTGAACCGTCTTTGAAAAAAACAAGGAGTTGAGAATATTTGGGAACAGTGAGGAAGCAAAGGTGTTTTAAAGGATTTATCTCACTGGGAGGAGGGCGCCCAAGCAGTGAGCACCTGGGGGTGTGGCAGCAGGTTGTTGCCATGTTTTGATACAACAGTAAATAAATCTAGTTTTGATTAGGAAAGCCCATGAGTGCTTCTAATTTAACAAAGGGGGAGAAAGAAATGAATAGTAATGAAAATACATTAGAAAAGAGGAAAAAGATAAAAATTAAGACAAATAGTAAAAATAAAAAAAGATGGAAAGAATAAAATCAAATATATCGGCTGTTACACTAAGTGTGAAAGAGCTGAATATTCATATGAAAGATAAAGACTCTCAGGTTGGATTGAAAAACCAAATTAAAATGTATAATTTTTGTAGGAAGCACATCTAAAACAAAGTGATGGTTAAAGAAATACCAGGCATACATATATTGTGATATCTGATAAATGACCTCAGGGCATTTCCCTGTGGAACTGCCATAGATGATATAGATTAATATAGATACTATGCTACAATATCTGTATTATCCATAGTAGTTCCATAAGGAAATGCTCTGCAGTCATTTATGAATCTTCAAAATTTTTTTAAAGAAAGTTTTCCATCATAAAACAGAACCACTTAGGAAGAAAGTCCTTTTTCACATTAATCTTGTCTCAGCTCAAAGTTGCCCTCGTCTGGGGAGATTTCTTTGAGCCCCTCTGCCTGCTTAAGATGCCCTTTCTATGTGGTCTAGCATTTTTACCAAATTGTCATATCCACGTCTCAGGATATTGTAATTATTGATTTATTTATTTGTTTCCCAGAATATTGTAAAATCAACATATGCTGGTGTCCACAATACCTACATCTATGTGCCTTATGAATGACAACCCATAAGAATTTAACAAATGAATAAAGCAAATGTTTTCTGAAAGAAAAAAAGAAATACCAGGCAAATACAAAGAAAAAGCTAAAATGACAACATGAAATTGAAGGTTAAAAGTATTAAATGAGACAGAGATAATATGTAATGATAAAAGGCACACTTTAAGAAGATGTTAAACGTAAATCTCTAAACACTAAACATCATGGCAGTCAAATCTATAAGGCAAAAACTGTTAGAAACGTGGAGAATGTTATTTAAAAACATGCACACGTAAACTGCGGTGGAAGATTCTAATCTACATCTTTCAAAATCTGACAGATCTAGAAGATAAAAATTAGCCAGGACATAGAAGGTCTGAGTATTACAATCAACCAGCTCAATTTAATAGATGTGTATAGAACTGTGAAACATGCAAATATAGAAGATGCTTTTTTCTTATGTAAATAACACATTGGTAGATGATAGATATAGATGGATAGATATGATAGATAGATAGATAGATGGATAGACAGATAGATAGACATCAGTCATGTACTTGGCCACAAACAAAGCTTGAAAAATTCAAAAAAGTGAAGATTTTTGCAGGGTATTTTCTGATAAATATTTTAGAATATAAGAGAATAATAATAAAAAGATGACCACTAAACTATTAACTGCTTAGAATAAAAAAACCCTGGATCAATACATAAATCAAAATTGGAATAAAAACTATCTAGAAAGCAATGAATCCTATTTTTTGGTATGCTAAACTCATATTCGAAGGAAAAATCACAGTCTTAAATGCCTTCATTGTTAAAGAAAACTGAAATTAAAGGAATATGGAACTCATTTTAGAAAATTAAAAATGGAACAAATACTTCAGTCATGGTAATTAGCAAAAGTAAATGCCAAAACTAGTGAAAGTGTCAAAAATAAATGGAAAGAATTTTTTAAAAAAATCCGAAATCTAACTTTTTATGGTGGTAAAATATACATATTTGTCATTTTAACCTTTCATAGATGTACAATTAAGTGGCATTAAATACATTCACAATGTTGTATAACCATCACCATTATCTATACCCAAAACTTTTTTATGATTCCCAGTAAAAACTCTGTATGCATTAAAACAATAACTCACCCTTCCTCCCTCTGCCCACCAGTGGTAACCTCTATTTTACTTTCTACAGTGATACAATAGTTGTTCTTCTGTGTCTGGTTAATTGCGCATAGCATAATGTTTAAGATATATTCATGTTACACCATCTTGGCCAACATGGTGAAACCCCGTCTCTACTAAAAATTCAAAAATTAGCTGGGCGTGGTGGCACGCGCCTGTAGTCCCAGCTACTCAGGAGGCTGAGGCAGGAGAATCGCTTGAACCCGGGAGGTGGAGGTTGCAGTGAGCCGAGATCGCACCACTGCACTCCAGCCTGCGCCACTGCACTCCAGCCTGGCGACAGAGCAAGACTCTGTCTCAAAAAAAAAAAAAGACATACTCATGTTACAGCATATATCAAAATTTCATTTCTTTTTATGGCTGAATAATGTTCTATCTCTGTTTATACCACATTTTGTTTATCTATTCATCTGCTGATGAACTCTTAGATTGCTTTCACCTTTTGACTACTGTGAATAATGCTGCTATGAACATGAGTGTACAAATATCTGTTGAAGTTCCTGCTTTCAATTCTCTTGCATATATACATAGGAGCAGAATTTCTGGATCATACAGTAGTTTTATGCCAAATCTAATTTTTGTAAGATAAATAGATATCCCCTGCCGACCATTAGGAACAAATGAAAGAAATCAAATGCAAGCAATATTAGAAATTAAGAGGGTGATATAATGCCAGATACAAAAAGAGAGAAAAATAATTATAAGACAATATTACATACAACCCTAGGGCACCCAACTTGAAAATCTAGAGATTTGTTTCAACAAATCTAGGAATTGTTGAATTCCTAGAAAAACATAAACTGATATCAAAAGAGATTGAAAATTTAAATAGGTCAGTTACCCAGGAAGAAATTGGAAAAGTAAAAGTAATGTAGGAATAGAAAGACATTTCTTAAATATGATGAAAAATATTTACCAGAAGTCAATAGCAAATATCTTTCTTACTAAAACCATGAAACCCTCAAGCTATTTCCATTAAATTAGGAAAGTACAAAGAAGGGATGCTTACCATGATCATTATTATTCAACATGTTTTAAAGGCTCAATTGCATTATTGGGGAAAAAAGAAAGTATAAGAACGAATTCTAACAGCAGAAAAAGTTATATTTACCTGCAGATACTATGATTATACATGGAGAAGAACCCAAAAGACTGCAGTAAACATTCTACTAGAGAAGACATAAATAAGCAAATAAATAAACAAGATATTCACAGACTGTAAAAAGTACTCTGCAGGAAATAAACAGAGCAGTGATGAAGAGTAGCTAGGCAAAGGGCCTCACTCCAGACACAGTGGCCAGGAAAGGATTTCCTCCAGGGGAGATCCTGAAGCTAGGACCCAGGCAAGGAGAGGAAGAGCTCCAAGAACGGCATTCCAGCCAGAGGGAACAGTGTGTGCCAGGGTGGGTTTGAAGAACAGCAAGAAGGCCACTGGGACAGCAGCTAGAAGGGAAGAGGGTGTTGTGAGAGAAAGTGGGGTGGTGTGGGGGCTGTAGGCCAGAGTAAAAAGGTTGAACTTGACTCTAAATGCCATAAGAAGACATTGAAGGACTTTAGCCAGATTTATGCTTTTTTTTTTTTTTTTTTTTTTTTTTTTTGAGATGGAGTCTGGCTCTGTCGCCGAGGCTGGAGTGCAGTGGCAGGATCTTGGCTTACTGCAACCTCTACCTCCCAGGTTCAAGCGGTTCTCCTGCCTCAGCCTCCCGAGTAGCTGCGATTACAGGTGCCTGCCACCACACTTACCTAATTTTTTGTATTTTTTGGTGGAGATGGGGTTTCACCGTGTTCGCCAGGATAGTCTCGAACCCTTGACCTCCGGTGATCCACCCACCTTGGCCTCCCAAAGTGCTAGGATTACAGGCGTGAGCCACCACGCCCAGCTTCTTATTTATGTTTTTGAAAGAATATTATATGTGCTTTGTAGGGAGGAAGGCAAGGGGGGCTAAGGACGCCAATTAGAAAGCTATAGCTATGGGACAGGTGGGAAGTCACTGTGGTGTGCCTTAGGAAGTGGCACCGGGGCGAAGAAGACACACGGGTGGAAGTGAGCTGTATTTTAGAGTTAGGCCCCCAACTGGAGGGATGTACAGATGTTAGCCCTTTCCTGGTATATCCTCACTGACCTCTTTATTTTGAAACTCTAAATGTCACTTTGTTACAGCTATGTATCTTAGAAGCTAGGTAGATAGGCCGTTTTAGGCTTTTTACTTTTTTTTTTTTAATAGGGGAGTTTAATCCGTCTGCAGTAATTTTGCTCTGTTCTGTGGTTTCTCCTTTTGTCCTTCCTTTCTATTTTTAGTTACCATGGCTTCCCTGCCCCTTCCTCTTTTGCTTCCCCTTGCCTTGGTCTTTTGTTCCTGATTCCTGAAGGACTGTTGGAGTTTTCCCGGTCTCGTCTTTCTTAACGCTCTAAGGGTTTGGAAGTTTAACGTCCTATCTCTACTCCGGGTCTAGTGACCGTTCAGGGTCTTAAGACATTTTCAGTGCTAGCCCGTGCGTCTTTGTTTCCCCATCTTTCTTTAGTTCCCTTGTAAGCCTTTGTGATCACTTCAAATCCTTTTTAGAAATAGCTTCCAGATGAAGAAGTGAAGCTGCCTGGCGCATAGATGTGTTCAAGTCTCCCTTCTTTTCGCTCAAGGAGAGTGAAGAGTGGATGGTGCCAATTCTAGCTGGGAGGAGTGAAGGACGGGGAGGGGGACGATGAGGCAGGAGGAGACCACGCCGCCCTCCTGGGAGGGGGCTGACTCGACCCAGCTGGTTCGGGTGTGCACCATCCTCACTCTCTCCGCCCTTCCAGGGCTGCACTGCGCCCCGCTCTCGGCAAGACACGGGTGACGCTCCGGAGATTTAATTCCCCTGCTCAGGTCAGTGTAGGGCCTCAGGGAAGTTCAAAGCTCGCCCACTAGAGGGCATTGGCGCGTTTCCCAGAAGACACGGCCCCGGGAGCTTTCGGGCTCTCCAGCAGCCCAGGGGGACTCCGGCGTCCGCGTAGACTGGTTCTGCGCAGGGGGCTGGGGCTGCTGGCGAAGGAGGTCGGGCGCTGCAGAGGAGCTCATAGACCCTACAGCGCAGTCAGGGTCGGGGAGGCCGCTGATTCTCCCGCTTCAGGGCGTTCAACTGCAGGACGAAGCGTCCCCAACGCGCACACCCGACTCTGGAGACCCGAGTGTGTGCGGGAGGCCAGCCCCGCCGAAGCGCCGTCCAGGATCTGCCGAAGCGCCGTCCGGGATCTGCCGAAGCGCCATCCAGGATCTGCCGAAGCGCCATCCAGGATCTGCCGAAGCGCCGCCCGGGATCTGCCGCCGCACGCAAGAGCCCAACCATAGAGGACAGCGGGGGCACCTAGTACCCGTGGAGATCCCAAACTCCTCTCACCCCAGCCCCAAAGCACTTCTCCCAATGCTGCTGCCGTGCCTGAATCCCGCCCACGCGTGAGAATCACCCCATTATTACAGAAGACCCCTGTCAAATGCACACGCGTTAACCACGTGTTACCCAAGGACGACTCAGTCATCCTTTAGGACTCGGTGATACATTAGCACAGATGAACCTGGCACTGAGGTGGGATGAGGTGGGGAGATCTTTTGGCCGCAGGTCATTTAGGATATTGTTATTACTGCAAAGACCACAGAACAGCCATGGTTTAGTCACTTATTCCTTGCCAGGAGCTTCGTCTCATTGTCTCTTTTAATAAACAATATTTTGAGATCACTTTGTTATAGTGATGTCTGCTGGTTTCCCCACTGTAAAATGACTAGTTTTCCCTTTGTAATTAATAAATATTTGGGGGGAGATGCTTTGAGACTGTGACGTATTCTGTTTCTTCTCAAACTCTTCCCCTCTCCTCTCCGCCCCACGTTTCTTGATCTCCTCTCTCTGCCTCTGGAGCACCGCTACATGCTGCCATTGATGGTTTGGGCACTTGGCTCGCCTCACCTTGGCTACTTTCCTCTCCCTCTCCCCTGGTCGGCCCTTCCTTGGTAGCTCCTCTGTTGAATTCCCACATCCTTCGAACTCTGCAGGTAGAATCCCTTACATTTTCCTGGGAATGACCTAGCCTCCAGCCTGAATTACTTCAACTTCCTGTATTCTACAATATCTCCAAACATCTTCACTTCCACACTCATCCTCTCTTCCTTGCATCCTATCTCAGACAAAGAGGAGGCCAGCTGGAGCTCTGGAAGCAGCTGGTAGAGTGGAAAGGGCACAGGCTTTGGAGTAAGTCAGACCAGATTTTGATCCCACTGCCACCACTTACTAGCTATATGACCAAGATTTTTTCTCTCTCTCTCTTTAGAACATCAATTAACATAAGGATATTTGAATAGAAATACTCATCGTTAACGATTATAAGAATTAGTATCAATGTGTGACCAATTTCCTGAGAGAGCTCTGACATGTAATGCTCAGTAAAGGATAGCTGTTATTATTTTCATAGTTTCGGTCCCTGTGCCCTCTAAAAACTTCTTCATGCTTCATGAATTACTCCTCCTCTCTCCTGTGGCTTCAGCCTCTCCCTCTCAATTGGTTTATTCTCTCAGCTTTTCAACATAATCAAATCTCTCCTATCTTCAAAAACAAGCAAACAACAAAACCAAAAACTCTTCTGCAAAGAAACCCACCGGCTCCCTCAAGTGCTTTCTTCCCTTGTCATGAAAAGGGAACTTCCACAGGAGACATTTATGCTTTAACAAATGCCTGGTTCCTGAAGCTTCCTAGTTCTTGTAGGAATCTCTCCTTTGGTTTCCTGAATCAGTGGATTGTGTTATTTCATCAATTTTGGAAAATTCTCAGCCATTATCTCTTCAAATATTGCCTCTGCTCCATTCTCTCTCTCCTCTCTTCTAGAACTCCAATTAAACGTATATTGGATTA
Source organism: Homo sapiens (assembly GCF_000001405.40). Classification (NCBI taxonomy): domain Eukaryota; kingdom Metazoa; phylum Chordata; class Mammalia; order Primates; family Hominidae; genus Homo; species Homo sapiens. The sequence goes on from NT_187538.1 coordinate 21,392, forward strand.
TCTCCCTGTGTCTTCTATTTTATTTATCTTCTTATCTGTATTTTCCATCTTTATGCCTCTCTGGACTTCATTCTGGATAGTTTCTTCTGACTTATCTTCCTTTCCACCAATTATTAGCTCTTAACTCTTCTATAGAGTTCTTTATTGAGTTATCATACTTTTCAGTTCTATAATATCAAATGGTTCTTTTTAAAATCTTCACCGTTGCTTTCAAAATTTTTATATCCTTACATAAAATTTTAAATTCAATTTTTATCTCCATGAACACAGTAAGCACGGTTTCATTACAGGTTGTATCGAGTTATTCTAATATCTGGGATCCGGTGGGTCTATTTCTATGGTCCACAGTTTCTGTTGATTCTGACTTGTGGTGTTTTGTCTCATGTAGCTCTTGTGCCTCTGTGCTTTCTGGACAATTTATTTGAAATGGCTCTTTTGAGAGTTAATTTGAAATCTAGGATCCTCTTCCAAAGAGGATTTTTTTTTTCCTTTTTTCCAACACCTGAGGGAACTAGCAGTCCGGGAATAAGGCTTGAGGCTGTTCTGTATGTCCACAGGGCCAGTACCCACCCCCTTTTCCAGATGCAGCCCTTTGGGGCCACTACTCAGAGCACATAGTGGGCTCATACTAAGTTTCCTTCTTTACTAACAGTAGACACCAACTGTTCCTCCAGCTCTAGGGAGCCCCCCAAAAGTACTGTTCACCCTGCTCACCTCACATGGTTCTGAGGATTGGCAGACAGCCCAGGGTAAACATATCAGTGGGGTACAAGTGACTTGCACATCTCCAGGACACTATGTAATGCAATATGACCCCTCACACTCACCCAAGGACCTTGGCATGTCAGCTGCCTTCTCCCAGGAAGTGAACACATCCCAAGTAACCAGTTTAGGCTCTTACCCCTCCCTGTTCGGCTCTATTAATGAGGCCTGCAGTGCTATTAAGAAGATAGTTTGATATCTCCTCTAACTTTTGTAGCTGTCTTTAGAAGTAATGGTGATTTATCCCTTAGTCTACCATTACTGGAAACAGTTGGCAGGGAATCTCTAATGCCCCTTGGTACCACTTCTTTCCTGGCTGAACTTAGATCCTTCCTTTTATTCACCCACAGTTGAGTTTTATAAGGGGACTAAATAATGCATTATAATACAGAGAGCAATTTATAACCAGCCACTCCCTATGGCCTATGACCTAGCCCATGCCACTGGGCCCAGCTTCGAGGCCATCTTCCTGTCTCCATGACCATCCACCCATGTATGAAGGCATCTCTGATGACTGGGCTTCCCAGTGGTAATCAGATATGGATTTGGTCCCAAGGTCTCTATAAGTGGGTGGACAAATTCCTCTTTGAGTAGACCTCTCCGATGTGAGCCACCTGGAAAAGGCCTGTTCTTAGATCATTACATTAACTCAAACATGATGCCTCTTTGTTAAGCCTGCTCTGATTCTCCTAACACAGGCAGGGTCTCTCCCTGCCTTGTCTCATGTGGCCATTTCTCACACTCCATCTTATAGAATCGAGATGTTATGTACATATCATGTACCTGTTGTTTTTGTTTGTTTCATTTGTTCGCCTGGGTGGAAGGGGTTTGAATTATTCCAGTTTCTATACCCACGATGTATAATTATTCTTGGGTTGCACAAAGCCATTTCATTATTGTATTGACTGACTTCTCTTTTATCTCTAGTCCCTATTCTCATTCCCCTTCCTCCACAGGTAGCTATTTTACCATGTTAATGGGCAACTTTATTTGAATGTGTTCTTGCAAATGTGTACTGTTGATTTATTTGCATACATTTAAAAAACCTGTTTGAAAGCTACCACATGATAGGTCTTATTCTGTTTCCTCCTTTTTATATTTTTAACACCCAACCACGTTGCAGTGTGACATCTAATTCAAGGCGTCTAGTCTCTGCATAATACCCCAGGGAAGTTCTCATGCGGACCCATAGGGAGCACATATGAAGATGTTATCACTGCTTGTTTTTTATGGTGGCAGGGAGTTGAAGATCACCTGAGTGCCCATTGCGGGGAGAATGGAGTGGTAAAATGTAACAAGGTGCCCATGGTGGGGTATTATGCAGAACTGAGCTCTGCCTCCTACCTGCTTATGAGATGGGGAATTCCTTAGATAGAGGAACAAGGCTCAGATGCTGAACAGCCAAACAGAATAACTATGTCCACAAGGCCCCTCCTCTCCCATAAGGTCTGTACCTGCTGAACTGTGTGGGGGCTGTTCAAAGAATTTGAACTTTGTTAATAGTCACAGTTCAGAGACAACTGATACCCTGGGCATCCCTGATACAAGCCATTGTAAGAAGAAACAGCATGGAACCAAAGAGAACACTTACTTTACCGGACAAAGGTATCTCCTGTTACAATCCACATTCGTCTCCCCACTCTTAGGGCCTAAGTGACTTTGGGGTTTCAGAAACTCTGGGAGGCTGATCCTCAACCCGACCCCAACCCAGCCTACCACAGCAGCACGAACGTGCTTTGGGAAGATGATCGTCTGGGTGGAGGGTGGAGGAGAAAGGTAGAATCCTGCAGAACTCAAAGAACGTTCCTGTGTACCCCCCACCACCCTCCAGGGATAAAAGAGCTGCTTCCCTCCCTCTTGGCATAAGCATCATTCCCTACAGAGACTGGCAGAGATCTGAAACCATGCAGGGACAGCTGTGGAGGCTGCTGTCAGTGGAGACCCAGGCTCAGAGACCCAGCCCAGCCGGTAGTAAGAGCGTCCCCCATGGCGATGGCAGCACTCCAGGCCACCTGAGGTCAAGAGGGCTCCACCCAGCCAGCTGCAGCTTCCCTGGGAGCTGTGGAGGGTGGCGAGTGTGGGATCAGTGCCCAGCCGTCAGCACGGGCAATACCTTTGCACCTGACCAGCAACCCACTGCCAGAGCAGCCACAAGGACTGATTCTTGGGCCGGTGAGATTCCAGAGTCTCCCTCAGCGCAGGTGCTGAAGGGAAACTCTGCAAGACCCTAAGAGCCTCTGTGATCAGGTGGGGGCTAAGAGGCGTCAGAATGTGGATGCTCCTGTGAATCAGACTGGACTTGTAGTTCCAGGCCGCAGAGTCCTGGCATGCGGGCACCATGGTCATAATGATGATCTTCATTGCCATGGCACACACCATTCCCATGTATCAGCTTTATGCCTGGGCAGAGCAGACGGGTGTGACTGAAGGCACAAGGGCAAAATGCCATTATTGAGGCACCTCCTGCTGCCCCGGGAAGCACTTACCTGAGTGGTGAGTCCACCTGTCTACTCATTGGACCGCCGTTATGCTCCAGGCAGGATAGAAGAGGCAGTGGTTCCCTGCCTGTGACGAGTCCCTGGGCTCTTCTCCTCAGGGCAAGTGGTCCTGCCCTGCTGGAATTGTGTCTAACCAAGGGTAGAGGTATCAGCAGCAGGTACCTGTGGAAGAGACAGAGAAAGCGGTTGTCTCCTTAATATCATCCTTGCTAAGTTCTTTCATCCTCCAAGGACAAAACAGATGGTGAGGAAGAACAGGGAGGACCTTGAGGAACTGGTCTTACTTGGAATGCTGGGGCAGCCGGTCACCGGGTTTGGGATTCTTCCTGTGGAGCGTGGAGCGGCTGTGATCCACCAAGGCAACTAGCGGTGCACGGAGCTGGGCAGGGTGGCCAAGGCCTTGGCCGTTGATGTAGGTGTTCGAGGCACGGATGGCCTGTTGATCTATGTGCAGCTGCTGCGGCTGTGTGTGTTGATGCGTCCCACCCACCAAAGGCCCCAAGCTTCCTCTCCACCTTCTGCTGGCACCGTCTGCAGCCTCTGACAGCATAGATACTCTTCCTGGGGTGGGGGCTTGGGGGGCAGGTGCCCCAGGATGCAGTGATAGAGTTCCAGAGGCTCAGGGCTGGGGTGGGCTGCAGGATGGGGCTGTTCAGGCTGAGCTGTCCTTCTGTCCTTAGCCTGCACCTTTCTTTTTGGCCCCATCATAGACCTTTAAGCGTGCCCCCAGATGGACAGGCTGAAGTCCCCTTGACCCACAGTTTGGCTTTCTATCCCTGCAGCCATGTCCTCATTTTCTGGGGCTGGTCAGCTCCTGGTATGGCTTCAGGACCTGTCCACAAGTCTGCCACCTCACTGTGTGGAGGTGGCTTCAGACCTCTCTGGAAAGTCAAAAATGGAGACGGAGACACTCTTCTGACAGGTTTGGGTGGTCCAAAGGATGAGTTGCTGTGGAGAGGTGGAGGGAGTAAGGGCGGGCCAGTGGGGAGCGGGCACCTGGGCGAGTCTTCCCAGTTTTCACTGCTGTGATTGCTATGAGGATGTGTATGAAGCAGGGTTTGTGACAGGCCAAATCTGCACAGGGCCCACCATCCACAAAGTGCTTGTATGCCTGCATTCTCTTGGTCCTTTTTGAAAACATTGCTAACAGGTCAAAACCCAAAAGCGACCACAGCCATGTCTGACTTCAGGGGTGCAGATGCTGGGTTGGTAGAAGACCCTTCTGTCCCTCTCTGCAGAGTTGAGTAACCTGCCTGCACATGAGGTGGTTGGAGACTTCTTATCTTTTCTTTAGTTTTTAACATAAACTTTATTATTGAAGCATAACATAAATACAGAGAAGAGCACAAATCACGAGTTCAGTGGCTTTTCCAAAATCACATGTGTAACTAGCATCTAATCAAGAAATTGAACTCTACTAGAACACCAGAAGCCCCCTAATGCTTCCACTCAGTCACTCCCCCACCATGCTAACCACTCACCTGACTTCTAATACCTTAGCTTCCTTTCACCAGTTGGGGACTTTATAGGAATAGAATCATCTGATATTACTGAAGGACTTTTAAGAACAGAAATATTGAATACCCAATATTGAGAACTTTGCTTTGGGATGATATCATCATCCTCATACACATAATAAAGCCTGCTGAGCGAACAAATGTCTTTTGCATGTGTTTTTGTTTTGCTTTGTTTTGTTTTGTTTTCCAGATATTAGAGGTGACAATCCGTGGAAAGGAGCCGAGTCTCCCATCTGGGTCAGTGCAGAAACGGAGCAAAGGGAGCTTCTGCAGAATGTGTTTGCAAGTAAGGCACCGCTTGAGCAGATTCAGACACTCCAAGCCAGACGGGAGGGGGAACATTGGGCAGAGCATTGGACTTCCCCTCAGAAGGTAGGACAGGGGCTGAGTCAAATTCATATACTTTCCACTAACAATGGAATTATAAACTAGATAAGCACATTTCACTGGAAAAGATACAAAGAACTAGTCATCCCCATGGACATATGGTCGTCCCTATTTGACATTAACTGGCTGGTTATTCTTGCATGATTTATACCTTCATGAGTCAGATTATGTGATTGAATCAAACGAAGCATGCGTAAGTCTGGAAAAAGAGAGGAAGGGGAGGAGGCTCCAGCCATAGATATCAGAAGAGACCAGAGAATAAATAAAACCCCTTCTGGTATGAGATTGCCATTCTACTCTCTATTGTGAAAAGTTGCTACTGGATGCAGAGACGCTTACAGGGGGCATCGAGAGGGTTTCCAGAACCAGTCTTGGGCAGCTGACAGGCCAAATCTTAAAAGAAAAGTGAACTCCTTTGCCCTCCAATAGCAGCAAAAGCTGAAACCAGAAGGGCACTCAGCTGAGCCTCCCGGGGCAGCAGGGTGGGAAGAAGGAGGACCCAACTCATCAAGAGGACCCTCCCTTTCAACAGTCATCACAGGTAGTATAAGGCAGCTCTGGACAGGATTTCACAGTAGAATCACCACAGGAGCTTACATACTTCACTTTGTTTAGTGTGGTGAAATATATGTGACATAAAACTGACCACTTTTACCACTATTAGGTATACAGTTCATTGGCATTAAATACATCACCATTGCTGTGCAATCATCATCATCGTCCGTCTTCAGAACTCTTCCATCTTCCCAGACTGAAACTCTGTACATTAGGCCACAATTCACTCCCTTCTACTCAGCCCCCTGGCAACCACCAATCTATTTTCTTCCTCTATGAATTTGACTACTCTGGGTACCCTATATAAATGGAATCATACAGTATTTTTCCTTTAGTGTCTGCAGGGGAAGTTTTAAAAGCATGAATGCCCAAGCCCAACCCCAAGCTAATTAAATCAGAATTTCTGGGGGGAAAGCCCAAGTAATTGCTGTTATTTTTAAAAGCTCACCGGTGATTCTAATGGGCACCCATGGGTCAGAAGATCTAAATCAGATTTGCACTCAAGAACCCCTCCCCCATGACAAACACACCTCAGCACCTGCTGGCTGATTCCCCAGATTCCTTTAGCTGTGGGTAAAGCTAAGGGTTCTCCTTCTTCAACTGGAGATGAGAGGCTTAAAATGACGTATTCGGGTATCACAGCGACTGAAACTCATGTGCTAAAGATTAATCTACCAGTCAAGAGGGGTAAGTGATTATTATGAGACACTGTCTCCTTCTGGAAACTGGGAGGGCTCAGAGTAGCAGATGGTAAGTGACTGCTGATTTGGGAGATGGGGAGAGACAGACACACTGGGACCCATGGCCGCTTTTTAGGGAGCAGTGATAAAGGTTAGTCCTATTTACCTTTAGTTACCTTGTGGACACAATAGGATTTGGGAGGAATTTACGACCAGCACATCTGTGGATTTGCCTTGTTCATTGGAATGCGGCCACTCGGACATATGGTTCCCATCAACTGTATTTTTGCATGATTCTTGAATTTCGCCCCCCCCCCAACTTTTTTTCATTTAACTGCACTGACTTCATTACAAAGGAACTTCACTTACATGGGTTCTAATTGAGGCATGACCAGTGCCTTACTCAAGCAAGAGCTCCTTCTGTTCCTTCTTTCTGCAGAATTAGAAATATACAGAGAATGATCAGATAGATAGATGATAGGCAGATAGATAGGTAGGTAGATAAACAGATAAAGAGACAGGCAAATGTATACAAAGTGACAAAATGATAAGAAAGATCCACACCAAATCATGATATTGGTTCTCCCAGTGGAGGAAGGGAGGTATGGGAATGGGATCAGAAGAATTTGAATGTTTTATTTACTTAGTTTTTTAAAACCCTGGAAACAAGCAGGACAAAATGTTAACACTTGTTCTCTCTGAGTTGGCATTTGTTGTGTTATATTCACTCTTTTTACTCGTCTTTGTGCTTTTTGGTATCTTTAACAGTTGTCAGTATTATATATATAGGTATATAAATAATCATACACATAAAGACACATGTATAAAGAAATACTTTGGCCAGGCACTGTGGCTCATGCCTGTAATCTCAGCACTTTGGAAGGCTGAGGCAGACAGATTGTTTTAGCCCAGGAGTTTGAGACCAGCCTGAGCAACATGGTGAAGCCCCATCTGTACAAAATACACAAAAATTTGTAAGGTGTGATGGCACACGCCTGTGGTCCCAGCTACTCCAGACGCTGAGGTGGGAGGATCGCTTGAGTGCAGGAGGTCGAGGCTGCAGTAAGCCATGATTGGGCCACTGCATTCCAGCCTGGGTGACAAAGTAAGATCCTGTCTCAAAAAAAAAAAAAAAAAAAAGTAAAAAGAAAAGAAATACTTTGATGACTGAGAAGAGCTCTTATAAAGAGTTTCATATTAATAATTTTACCATAAAAATAAAATTAATAAAGTTTCAGAACATTTGAAAAATACAAAAAAGCGTAGACAGAAATTGCCACATTTTGGTGTCTTCATATCCTACTTACTTCTCCATGCATTAAATAATTGTGTCATTGATTTCAAGTTTTCACATAGTCCCTAATTACAAAGGTAATACTTATTCATTGCAAAATGCAGAAAAAGATGGATAAGGAAAGATACATTACCCCATTGCCTTATTACCTGGAGTGCCCCACTATGGTTCATCATGGCAAAAAACAAAATCAGATTCTGGCTAGGAAGACAATTACTGAATGTTATGATTTGAATGTGTCCCCTCCAAAATTCAGCTTTTGCCAGTGTGATAGTATTAAGAGATGGGGCCTTTAAGAGGTGACTAGTCCGTGATACTCCTCATGAATGGGATTAAGAATCCTTATAAAGGTGCTTGACAGAAAAACCTGGTTCTCTCTTGCACTTCTGCTTTTCCACCATGTGGGGACATGAGGTTTCTTCCCTTTTGTCCTTCCACCTTCTGCCTGCATCACATGGTAGTGCCTTGATCTTGGACTTCCCAGCCCGAAGAACTCTAAGAAATAAATTTCTGTTCTTTATAAATTACCCAGTCTCAGGCATTCTGTTATAGCAGCACAAAACAGACCAAAACACTGAAAATATTAAAAATAACATATTCCATCAACAGAGGTTATCAGGGTCTTGGCTTTTATTGAGCTCCTCCTTTGTTTTTTATGTGATGGAGTGACTCACACATGCAGTCGGATATGGTATGGCTGGCCTCTAATGCTAATTTAATCTTGGATTAAATGTTACTTTCTTAGACATCGTCTCTGATGGTTCAATCTGAAAGAGCTACTCGCTATTTCAATAGCCTTAATTTAAGTATTTTTTGGCAGGGAGGAGGGAGTTTGCCATTATTATTTATCATTCTCTATCATTTTTTCTTTTTTAATTGTGCATTTATTTGTTTCTTCCCTGTCTTTTTCATTATTGTATCCTCGGGGCCTAGAAAAATGTCTGGAATTTGGAAGTTTTATTATTGAATAAATAAATAAATCAAATATCCTTTAGTGATCATGCCTACTTAGGATTATGGAAGTGTCTTTCTTTAACTACCACTGGACCCAAGCCTAAGAAAACAACCTGGTGAAGCACCTGGATTTCGGCCACACCCCTCTGCCTCCTCTGGATTTCGGCCACACCTCTCTACCTCCTCTGGATTTCAGCCACACCTCTCTACCTCCTCTGGATTTTGGCCACACCTCTCTACCTCCTCTGGATTTCAGCCACACCTCTCTACGTCCTCTGGATTTCAGCCACACCTCTCTACCTCCTCTGGATTTCATCCACGCCTCTCTACCTCCTCTGGATTTCAGTCACGCCTCTCTACCTCCTCTGGATTTCAGCCACACCTCTCTACCTCCTCTGGATTTCATCCACGCCTCTCTACCTCCTCTGGATTTCAGCCACACCCCTCTGTCTCCTCTGGATTTTGGCCACACCTATCTACCTCCTCTGGATTTCATCCACGCCTCTCTACCTCCTCTGGATTTCAGCCACACCCCTCTGTCTCCTCTGGATTTCAGCCACACCTCTCTACCTCCTCTGGATTTCATCCACGCCTCTCTACCTCCTCTGGATTTCAGCCACACCCCTCTGTCTCCTCTGGATTTCAGCCACACCTATCTACCTCCTCTGGATTTCAGCCACACCTCTCTACCTCCTCTGTAGCAGCAATTCTATGTCTCTGTGTTAATGAAAAGTCCTTGCCGCAGCCAGTGGAGAAGAGAGAGAGAAGGGCAGAGAGAGTATTTAAGGAAATAGCTGAAAACATTCCAAATTTGATGAAAGACATGAACATAAATATCTAAGAAGTTCAACAAGTAGGATGAACTTAGAGATCTACATTAAGGTACATCATCATTAAACCATCAAAAGACAAAGACAAAGAGCGACTCTTGAAAGCAGCAAGAGGGAAGCCACTTGTCATATACAAGGGATCCTCAATAAGATTACTAGCAGATTTCTCATCAGAAAGTTTGGAGACCGGAAGGCAGGGGGCTGATATATTCAAAGTGCTAAAAGAAAAAGGAAAGCCTGTCAACCAAGAATGCTACAGCCCCCAATTTTTTTGCCTTTCATGTTTATGAGGCATCTATAGTTCCCTTGGCACGAATAGCCACTTTCTGTCCTTTGTCCATTTTTCTCCTGAGGTGTTTATTTATTTTTTATTTTTTATTATTTTTTAAATGGAGTCTTGCTCTGTCACCTAGGCTGTAGTGCAGTGGCATGATCTCAGCTCACTGCAACTTCTGCCTCCTGGGTTCAAGCAATTCTCCTGCCTCAGCCTCCCAAGTAGCTGAGATAATAGGCACGCACCACCATGCCTGGCTAATTTTTGTATTTTTAGTAGAGACAAGATTTGACCATGTTGGCCATGCTAGTCTCGAATACCTGACCTAGCGGTCTGCCCTCCTTGGCCTCCCAAAGTGCTGGTGTTACAGGTGTGAGCCACGGCACCTGGCCATATTTTTAACTTTTTTCTTTGTAAGTGCTTTCTATGTTGTAAGGAGACTAACACTTTCTTACATATGGGGCACAATTTTATTTTGTTTTTCTTTTGAAAATTTTAAACTGTAATTTTAATCAGTACATGTTTAATTTTTATTAATAAATAACTTACAATTTTTAATATAATTAAATATGTTACTGTTTTTCTTTATGACTCTTGCTTTGGTATCATTCAAAGAAATACTTTAAAAACTTCAGGATCATAGAAATTTAGCAAGGACTGCTAGTAATAACAATAGGAGGGCCGGGCGCAGTGGCTCACGCCTGTAATCCCAACACTTTGGGAGGCCGAGGTGGGGGGATCAAGAGGTCAGGAGGTCGAGACCATCCTGGCTAACACGGTGAAACCCCGTCTCTACTAAAAATACAAAAATTAGCTGGGCACGGTGGCGGGCGTCTGTAGTCCCAGCTACTCAGGAGGCTGAGGCAGGAGAATGGTGTGAACCCAAGAAGCGGAGCTTGCAGTGAGCCAAGATCGTGCCACTGCACTCCAGCCTGGGTGACAGAGCCAGACTCCATCTCAAAAAAAAAAAAAAAAAGCTAAATTATTCATAATCACCATCATTATTCACTATGTATCAGACACTTTATATATAATCCCATTTAATTCTCATAACAAATCTATGAAGTAATTATTATTCCCATTCTACACATCAGGAAGCTGAGACTCAAGAAGACCAAGTAAATTCCCCACAGTCATGATTACGGGGTTGGAAGTGAATGTCAGTAGTTTTGCTGTGCATAAACTTCAGGCTTTGTTGGATGAGCAGACCCGGGTCCACGTCCTGGCTCTGCTGTGCCAGCTGGCAGATGGACCACTTTGTGCATGTCTCTGCACCGCTCTGGACCTTCATTTCACTTGTAAAATTTCACCTAATAACACCTCCCTCATAGAGTTGTTAAATGAGAGAAAAGTATGTACTGTGCCAAGCACTGAGAGAAAAGTCAGCCTGAGAGTCAGCCCTACTCCTCTTTGCTGGAGCTCCTTCACTCTCTTTGTTTCCTCTCTGCAGGGGTAGGGCGCTGTGGCAGAGGGGCTGGTGAAAGAAACGCTGAATCAGCATCTGTGAAACTGACATCTGCAGTGAGGTGCACAGATTGAAATGCTGGGCCTAGCCGATTTAAGTAAGGAGCAGAGCAAGGTGGCTGCAGCGGTCCCACCCTGGAGGACCCTCTTAAAGGCGTCCCACCCTGGGGTGTGGCTCAGGTTTCTGCAACAAGACCTATTCCTTTCTGTGTGTGGGAGGCAGGGGTGGGGCTCGTCAGCATGATCTCTCCGTGGTTCAGAGGCAGCCACTCCTGCCTGTGAGGATGCCGGTCATGTGTGTGTGAGGTTGCTGCTCATCTACCAGCTCTCGCCCCGTTGGCCCCAACACACACACTAAAGCCATGGGCACCCTCGAGGGACACCTGCTGCCAGCAATGTTCTTCCTTCTCTACTCACTCTACTATATGGTGCTGGTGTCTCTGGCCCTGCTACAGGAACAGAGGCTCCTCAAACTCCCTCTGCCCTCCAGGGAGAAGTGAGGACACAGGTGGTGGTAGCTGGTGCCACTAGAAGGTGTGGTGAAGGTGGTCATCACCCTGGCTGGCATCTTACCCAAGTTATTCTACCCGTCTGGAGTAAATCGGCTGATGGTGGTAGACTGGGAGGATCCGCGGTGGCCATTCGTGTTCAAGGACAGCTGGCAGCACATCACCATGTACGAGTTCTTTATGCTCACTGGCGTGGTGGACATTGTAAGCCAGTCGTGTCAGGAATGGTAGAATATGAAGCTAGAGCAAGCAGTCAAGGCCTTGGGCTCCTATGTGCTGGCACTACTGATGGCAGCCCACATTGAGAACAAGGGCACCCTGGAGATCCGTGTGCGTGAGCTCTTCAGCGTGCCCCCCTTCCTGGTCTCCCTGGTGCTCACCATCAAGGTCTGGGTCCCTGACCAGCCCCAGCTCTGGGTGCTCAAGACCTGGGTGGGGCTGGGGCTCAGCAACTGGATGCTGCAGCTGTGTGTGCTGATGTTTGCGCCTCCCTCCGGACAGCCCTGCAGGTGGAGAACCCCATGGACCTTGCCTTCCTCACTCGCTTCTTCTCCTGGCACCTGGGCTTGGGGGCTGCCGTGCTGGCTGCTGTCTATGGCCTCTGCAGCCTCTGGCACCGTCACTGCTCCTCCTGGACAGCGTTACCAGGGGCCAGGTACTAGCCGTGCCTCACCAATTCCAGTGGTGAAGAGCTTGAGAAGCTCAGGGCAGAGGCTGTGCTGCTGGATGGAGGCGTCTAGGTACAGAAACTGTCTTTGTTCTATGCCTTTTGTAATGAGAGTTTCAAGGGTGCCCACAGCACGCATAGCATGGAAATGCCTTAGAATTCACAGGCTAGCTTCTATCTCGGGAGCCATCTTTCTCGTTCCCAAATAAACCTGCCAGCCCCTGGGGTAACTTCTCATCCATCATTCTCTTCTCTCCAGGTCTGTCTCTTTTCTCTCTCATTATTCTGGCCAAGCACATACATGAAATGAGAACAGGAGTGCTGCTTTTTTCTGGCAGTTTTCAGGATCCAAGAGGAGGAAATGAATTGAGGAAGTAGACAGAGAGGAAAGAGCGCCCGTAGACACCATATTTCTTAGATGGGGCAGGACTACGGTATGCACGGGTATGCCTGCAAATGAAGTCTCTCAATGTGTGAAAGACAGGGGGTCCGTTTTTCCATAATGGTGAAGTCTTCTGTTTTCTCAATTTCTCTGTTTTTTATTCACTCTCAGTATGGCAGTATGAGGAATTTTCATGTTTGTTTTTTGTTTGTTTTCGAGATGGAGTCTCACTCTGTCACCCAGGCTGGAGTGCAGTGACTTGGTCTCGGCTCACTGCAACCTCCGTCTCCTAGGTTCAAGCAATTCTCCTGCCTCAGCCTCCTGAGTAGCTGGGACTACAGGCACCCACCACCATGCCCAGCTAATTTTTGCATTTTTAGTAGAGACGGGGTTTCAACACGTTGGCCAGGCTGGTCTCAAACTCCTGACCTCAGGCGATCCTCCCACCTCAGCCTGCCAAAGTGCTGGGATTACAGGCATGAGCCACCGCACCCGGCCATTTTTTGTGTTTTAAACCTAAACTAAATGAGGCCACTTCTGCCTTATGAGAGAGGAAGGAATGAGAAGCTTGGGCAGTTGCAGGGGGGTGTGGTTCCAATCAATTTAGCAGGGGATCAAGAAGAGGGAGAAAGGAGGCCACGGAGGAATTCCAAAGCTGCTTGTCAGAAATGAAGGTGATTTAAATATGATTTTAAATTGTTTGTGTTTTTCTGTGATACAAAACAACTCCATTGTTCCAACTCATTCAGTAAAGTCTATTACATGTGTACACGTCTCATGTGAGTGATTCTGAGGGAAGCCAGAGAAAGAGCCCATATCTCAATTGACAGGAAAAGAACACGGAGGAGGGGGAAAGAATTGCCATGAAATGGGGTGCAAGTGATCTCAGTGCTTCTGAAGACACAGGAACTCAGAGCTGAGAGAGAATCTGAGGGTGTCAGTCCCCTGGAATGTGCAGGAATATTTTCAGATCTTTGGTCTTCTCTCAGAATGGGATGCTAATAAATTCACATATTTGGTGAAATATATGAAAGCAAATTATATAAAATTACATATCTCTGGGTACAGTTAGGAAGCCATTGCTTCTAATAGTATGAGTCAGCTTAAGTGAGATGGACACACCCAGCATTTAGAAATCTGAAGAGGCAAAAAGAAAAGAGATGCTGGCCATAGATGTGGAGAAAGAACCATAGAGAAAAGTCCCCATGATGAAGCTGCTGCAATTACAACACCCCGTGTGCAGCCTGGAATGCTCTCCTCAGACCATGAGAAGCTTCAAGAAGCACAGAGAGGTTTGCAGGATGGCAGACAAGACAGACTGCACACTGTTATTTGAAAATATCATTGGATGCACTCTAAAGAATCGGTGTAGACCAGGCGCAGTGGCTCACACCTATAATCCCAGCACTTTGGGAGGCAGAGGTGGGCAGATCTCTTGAGGTCAGGAGTTTGAGACCAGCCTGGACAATATGGCAAAACCCTGTCTCTAAAAACATACAAAAAAAAAAATAGCCAGGTGTGGTGGCACAGACCTGTGGTCCCAGCTACTCAGGAGGCTGAGGTGGGAGGATCACTTGAGCTTGGGAGGTAGAGGCTGCAGTGAGTCGTAATCATGCCAGTACACTCCAGCCTGGGTGAAAGAGTGAGACCCTGACTCAAAAATAAATAAATAAATAAATAAATAAATAAATAAATAAATAAATGAGAGAGAGAGAGAGAGGAAGGAAAGAAGGGGGGGAGGGAGGGAGGGAGGAAGAAAGAAAAGAAAAGAAGGGACAAGACAATTGGGTGCACTCTAAAGAAGCAGTACACAAGAGCACAGAAAACAGGCCGTGGAGACTCTGGGACAAGGGGTTGATATTAGAGAAGGGGAGAAGGGAAAGGGATAAAGAAGGAGCCAAAAATCTGGCCACTCACACTGGCAGGGCTTGGATGGGAGGGAAGACTCTGGATCTTAGAGGAAAACAAATGTGTCTCTCAAGCAGCTGGAACCAGGCCAGCCCCAACTTTCCTCCCCAGAGGAGGAAGAACCAACCCAGGGAGAGGCCAGCACCTGTCTTTCTCTCCCCACCCCAAAAAGCCCTGAAGCAGAGCCAGATATACCGGAACTAATTAAGTTTAAGCTTCAAGGCCCTTCACCTTACTCATCCTGTCCAAGGCCCTGGGAGAGGCTTTAGCAAGGTGTTCGCATGATCCGCATATCACTGAGAATTTGCAAATGTACTATTTTTGTGTATTCTTTTTTCCTAAAGAGGGTCCTTTAAATTGTGTAAGCATTCGGCCTCACAAAGCCTGGCTCTGCCCTCACCCTGGAGGCTTACCACAGATATACTTCAGGATGCTTTATGATAAACACATCCCTTCACCTGTTCATGGAACATTCTTTGTTAGAGAATCCTTCCTTCTTCAACTTGAAAACAAGATACTTATAACGTTAATGACCTCAAACACTGGCTGAAAATCAACGGCTATAGTATAATCCCTCTGACAAAAAATGTGAATAAGTGTTATATGATCCTAGGTCTGAATTGATAAAGAGGAATTAGAGTTGCAGAAGACTAGAGGGAAAGGTGGGAGTGAGGTAAAGAGGTTAGTCCTGCATACACTCACTTGTGCTGTTGTGGGGAGAATTTTTGTCTGCACATCTGGCCCTTGCCCAGTGTATTAGGGTTTTTCAGAGAAACAAAACCAACAGGATGTGTAGATAGATGAATGGATGAGTAGATAGACAACAGGGATTTTAAGGGGCAGGCTCATGCAATTGCTGGTAGTTAATAGGGATCTTAAGGAACCATCTCATGCGATTGTTGGGGCTGGCAAGTCCAAAATCTGCAGGGCAGGCCAGCGGATGGGAGAACAGTGAAGGGTGATGTTGCAGTCTTGAGTCTGAAGGCAGTCTGGAGGCAGAATCCCTTCTTCCTTAGGAGACCTTATCTTTTCTCTAAGGCCTTCAACTGACTGCATGAGACCCATGCACATTATAGAGGGTAATAGGCTTACTCAAAGTCTACTGATTTAAACATTAATTATAACCCAAAAATACCTTTATGGCAACATCTAGACTGATGTTTCACCAAACAATTGGGTGCCAGAGCCTAGACAAGTTGACACATAAAATTATCCTTCATATCCTGCATATTGGAGTATGACCACTCCGGCATGATTTCCATCAATTGTATTTGTCGTGATTTTTGGAGCCCTTCCATAATAATAATAATAATTCATTTTTACTTATTTATTTATTTTTGAGATGGAGTCTCACTCCATCACCCAGGCTGGAGTGCAGTGGCAAGATCTGGGCTCACCACAACCTCTGCTTCCCGCGTTCAAGCGATTCTCCTGCCTCAGCCTCCTGAGTAGCTGGAATTATAGGCACCCACCACCACACCTGGCTAATTTTTGTATTTTTAGTAGAGATGGGGTTTCACCATGTTGGCCAGGCTGGTCTCAAACTCCTGACCTCAGGTGATCCACCCACGTCAGCCTCCCAAAGTGCTGGGATTACATGTGTGAACCACCGTGCCCGGCCAATAACTTCACTTTAAAGGAACTTAAGGCCAGGCATGGTGGCTCATGCTTGTAATTCCAGCACTATGGGAGGCAGAGGCTTGTAGATCAAGAGGTCAGGAGTTCAAGATCAGCCTGGCCAAGAAGGTAAAATCCCATCTCTACTAAAAATACAAAAAAAAAAAAAAAAAAAAGGCCCAGTGTGGTGGCAGGTGCCTGTAATCCCAGCTACTCGGGAGGCTGAGGCAGAACCCTGGAGGCGGAGGTTGCAGTAAGCCGAGATTGCTGCACTCCAGCCTGGGCAACAGAGCGAGACTCTGTCTCAAAAAAAAAAAAAAAAAAAGGGAATTTAATCACTATAAGTTCTAACTGCAGTTCTGACTGTATAATACTATATGGACCTCTTCCCTTACATATTCTCCCTAGTGCGAGAGAGAGTGCTGGGTGTGCAGGTAAGTGACACTTACTTACTTATTTATTTATTTTTGAGATGGAGTTTCACTCATGTTGCCCAGGCTGGAGTGCAATGGTGCGATCTTGGCTCACCGTAACCTCTGCCTCCTGGGTTCAAGCGATTCTTCTGCCTCAGCCTCCTGAGTAGCTGGGATTACAGGCATGCACCACCATGCCTGGCTAATTTTATATTTTTAGTAGAAATGGGGTTTCTCCATATTGGCCAGACTGGTCCCGACGTCTTGACCTCAGGTGATCTGCCAGCCTCAGCCTCCCAGCATGCTGTAATTACAGGCGTGAGCCACCACGCCCGGCCAGTGACACTTATTTTTAAAGATTAAAAAATAATATTTAGAGGCCAACAGCCTCAACCAGGGCATACATGAAGCCTTTCCCTTTTTTCCACTATAAAGCTTTCCCACTCCTCTACCTGCTTTGGATTCTCTGTCAAAACACAAGTGATGGTGGCCAACTCCCTTGCTATAGCAAGCTCTGAATCAATCGTCTTTGCTTGTTCTCATTTGGTTGATCTTCATTTATTTCCAGCAATTCAATTCTTCCCTTTATTCATCTAAGTAGGTATTCAATATTTATTAAGCATCTATTATATGCCAGACTCCATGCTAGGCCCTGAGAATAATGAAGTGACCCAGATGCTAGGGTCCCTGACTTTAGGCTGATTATAGTCCAGTGGGAGGAGAAAGGCAAATAAACAGTAAGCCGAGCGCAGTATGAAAAGGGCTGTGACGAGGGCCAGCTAACCAGACTTGGAAGTCAGGGAACATATCTGAGAAAAGTGATGTTTCCACAGGGGCCTGAAGCATGAGTATGGCCAGACCAAGTGGAGAAAAACTGGGGGAGAGGGAAAGAAAGGGCCACAAGCAGGTTGCCAGACCACAGAGAGCATGAACATTCAAGGATGTGAACAAAAGCGAGATGGCTGAACTTGGTGTTTGAGCTGGGAGTGGTGCCACGGAAAAGCAGACAAGGGTCAGTGTCCTTCTGGGCCACATGAAGTAACTTTGCACTTATCCTGAAGTAATTATCAAATACCCATTTTGGAATATGGCTTCATGTGGAATGAGGCCAGAAGCAGAGCAAACCTGGAAACTTAGGAACCAGTGTGGAATCTAACAGGTGATGGTGGCCAGATAAGGGGAAAGAGGAAATTGCATGCATTGGAGAGCTGATTTAAATGGCTCCTGACGGGATGTCGGGGCTTGAGACTGGTGGGCTGAACAAGAGGGGGAAGGAGCCACAGGCTGGGCAGCTGGGAGGAAAGTGGACACAATCGCTGAGATCATGAAAACCAGGGCAGGGAGGTGGAGAGCAAGAGATGAATTCTGGATGGAGAGATGCAGTTTGAGGTGTTCTGGAAGCAACTAGATGTATGAGTCTGGAGCTCCAGAGAAAGGGATGGGTAGAGAGGGAAATCCGGGCATCATGCATGAGTGAATGGCCATTAAATCCATGGAGATGGGTTGAGGCCACGAGAGACAGGGTGCAAGGAGGAGGGCTTAGAACTCTGGGAGGCACCCACATATAGTTGGGAAAGGAAAGAGAGGCACTTGGGAGCAGACCAAGAAAAAGCAGCCAGGTGTAGAAGGAAAGCCAGGAACATGTTTTAACGCAGATACTAAAGATTGGCCCTGTTTCAGGACCGGGAGTAGACAGCAAAGGCTCCTTCCTTATTTCTCCCTTCCTCCTTCCTTTCCTACCCTGTGAAGGAAACGCAGATTTGCTCAAGTCTAATGAAACTGGTCCTGCTTTGCCCCATGGTGTTGCCCAAGCTTCATTAACCAAGTGCTGGCCTTGGCACTGTCTGCAGAATACACTGGACTGGACGCCACTGCACTCCAGCCTGGGTGACAGAGTGAGACTGTCACCCAGGCTGAAAGAAAGAAGAAGGGAAAAATGAATGAAAAGAAGAGATGAATGTTCTGAAGACAAGGACTTTCCCTGAGTCTTACCCAACTAAGGATTTTGCCAATATCTTAAGGTGGGACTGAGGTTAATCCCGGGACCACGTTGAGCATTATTCTGTCTAATGAGAGTATGTGAGGTAGTTATTTAGTTCATTCGCCATGGTTATTGAGGGCTTATCATACACTAGATGGAAATCGAAAATCCAATTCCGGCCGGGCGCGGTGGCTCACGCCTGTAATCCCAGCACTTTGGGAGGCTGAGGCGGGTGGATCACGAGGTCAGGAGATCGAGACCATCCTGGCTAACATGGTGAAACCCCGTCTCTACTAAAAATACAAAAAATTAGCCAGGGGTGGTGGCGGGCGCCTGTAGTCCCAGCTACTCGGGAGGCTGAGGCAGGAGAATGGCGTGAACCCGGGAGGCGGAGCTTGCAGTGAGCCGAGATCGCGCCACTGCACTCCAGCCTGGGCTACACAGTTAGACTCCGTATCAAAAAAAAAAAAAAAAAAGAAAAGAAAAGAAAAGAAAATCCAGTTCCCTCTCTGCTCACTAGCCTGTGAGTGCAAAAGGGACCACAGGAAGGCTAGCGAGCCATATTCACGGTCCCCAGCCCTCAAAGTCTCACCCAGGCATCGGTCTGAATCCTCACAGGTTTCTCTCTCTCCGTCCTCCCCTCTCTCTTCTCTCCTCCTCTCTCTCCCCCGACCCCCTGTCCCTCTCTCCCGCTCCCTAGATACTGCTGAGGGCCGCCTTCTGGCTACCCTGGGAGCCCACATATATTGGCTCCCCTTCACCCTCCCCCTTCCTCACTGCCCAAGGCGTCCTTGGTAATCAGCCGCTTTCTTCTCTACTTTGCAATTCTTTGATGACGCTGAGCTGAGCGAGCCCGCGCTCAGCCCGAAGAACCCCTTTCTCCTCGCACTGTGTGCCAACCGCATCCTTCCTTGCGAAACCAGTTCCTAACTTCCCCCTCGCGAGCGCCTCGTGGAAGTCGCAGATCCGGAGACCCCATCTCTGATAGCCGCAGTGCGCTCTGGGTGTGGCTGCTTCCTCACGCTTTCCAATGCCAACCTGTCCAGGCGCCCCGGACTGAACCTGGGGGCGTGGGGACTGGGAGGGAGACTTCATTTTCACTTTTTAAAAAATACTTTTGATTGTTTTACCACGGACAAAAGAAAGGATATGGGTAATGCTATTGATTATTTTTATATTTGTTTATTATTATTATTATTATTATTATTATTATTATTATTATTATTATTATTTGAGACAGAGTTTCGCTTTTGTTGCCCAGACTGGAGTGCAGTGGCCCGATCTCGGCTCACTGCAACCTCCGCCTCCAGGTTCAAGCGATTCTCCTGCCTTAGCCTCCCGAGTAGCTGGGATTACAGGCGCCTGCCACCATGCCCGGCAATTTTTTTGTAGTTTTAGTAGAGGGTGTTTCACCGTGTTGGCCAGGCTGCTCTCGAACTCCTGACCTCAGGCGATCTGTCCGCCTCGGCCTCCCAAAGTGCTGGGATTACAGGAGCTAGCTACCGCACCCGGCCTATTGATTATTTTTAAATTTGAAATCAAAATATGAAGTTTGCAAAGGGCACGGAATTAGCCGGTATACTGGGGAGCGCAAGGAGCCCAGTTCTGCCAGACTGTCCCCGGCAGAGTCCGCGACACACCAAGGCCATGTCTTGTTAAAAAGGGGGTTCTGGCCTGAGAATGGCTGGGGAGCCTGGGCCCGGCACCCCTGCCCGCGTCCCTCTCCCCTAGGGTGTTGACGCGGAGGCTGCGGGTGCGGACACAAGCCCACCTCTGCCTAGCGCGATTTCCAGAGCTAGCGCCCGAGGGAGGAGCGCGCGCCACCCCGCCGCCCTGACAGAGCTTGGGAGAGGGTCCCCAGGACTTGGCGTACCCGTCCGTCCTGGGGCTGCTGCTGTCCTCAGAGCCTGGGGAGGTACCGGGTCCAGAAGGCTGAGCGCAGCGCTCCGTGTGGGTGCCCTAGTGAGGCCTCAGCCCCACTGCGCCTTCTTCCTTCACGTGGGCAGGAGAAGGACCCGACTGGTACTTGGTGAGCAGAGGTTCGCACACCCGATATGGGAAAAGGAAGAGGGAAAACAGATGAATCACTGAGGGCTGGACTGATTCAGTCATTTGTGCACGGAGTAAATATTTATTTCGCATTTTTAAAGCTCTTGACAGGCAACAGCAAACCAATCAAAAGTCCCCGCCCTCATGGACCTGGGGTGGAGGTATGGTTGGATAAAAAATAAACAATGAACTTACTAAATCATATATTAATGATTAGCCCTAAGTAATCTAAACTACCTCCTCCCACATTCTTAAAAGCAACACTTCTTTGACAAGTTGGTCTTCATCATGCACCCAGGCACAGCAAGTGGCAAAAGTATGCCGAGATGGAGAGGGTATGTCGTTGGGAAACAATGCTTACATATGTAGCTAATTTTTTTTTTATTTATGAAGCAGCATTTATCTTAATCATTGGGGCGTCTCAGAATTTCCTAAGTGCCTATTCCTCCCTTTTAAAGCAGCTAGTTTTTGAAAAGTAAGAAAGGATGTTAGTTTCATTCTGCAAGGTCATAAAAACACTTTTATCCACTCATTTACTTTAACAGTTCCTGCAACACGATTGAGATGCCAGAAGTGCTGGCAGAAGAAAAAGCACACATCTGAAGAACAAATGATAGGGATACATGAGTGTCCTAAATGAGCATAACAAGACCTAATAATGCCCAGACAATAGTATCCTATATGACAAAGGGGATCAAAGCCAGAGTCCGGAAGACAAGACTGACCTGGAGCAGTCCCTCCCTACTCATTTTTCTTAAGCTGTAAAGCAGAATAGCTTGTTCTGTATTTAGTTTGAGGACAATTTGGGCATGGGAAGGGTGGGGTGATTTAATACTAACCAATCATTTAAGTGGCATCCTCAAGCAAACCTTACCTTCACAAGCAGGATTTCTATGCAAATGTAGCAATCTACCAGGATTTAGGATTTAGCCCTAGGCAGGGTCATGATCAGAAAATTGTTATCAATGATCCTACCAAATTCAATACCCACTTTTTGTAGCAAATGCTTTGCAAAGCCCATTTACTATCTTGAAATGGAATTCATAGATAATATAATCTATCTGTATACATAATTCCAAAAACATCATTATATCTATCAACGCCTCCCAGCCAAAGACCCTTGGGAACACACTTGCAGTTGAACAAGTTCAGTTTATTGCACATTGCAAGGAGGGAGAATGCACGCCACGGGGAAATGCAGGATGTCTTGGTAAGAGGGTATTAGAAAGGACTTACTATCGGATTTAGGGTTTGGGGGGCAGCTTTTGGAAAGATTTGTGAAAGCGGTGCTTTGCTTTGGATTGGATGCTGTCAAGAAGTGGGAGCAGTTCTATGGTTGGGTATTTTAATTAACTTCATCTAGAAGGAGGGAAGACTAGAGCCAGGCTAAAGCTATCAATGTGAAAAAGCAGCAGTCACTCCTATTAGCCAGGATACGGGGAGGTTTGGTCATCTCTGTGGTTTGGAGAATGTTCATGTTTTGTCTATGTTCAGACGTGATTAGGGAATGTTCTTGTTTTTATCTAGAGCCATCCCCATCTGGGTGGCCTTATCCAATACCGGTGTTCTGTGGAATTGTTTACATGTAACAGAAAAACCCCACAAGTGAGTGCCAAGCCAACTTGGGTGTCAGGGACTGCTTTTTCTCACACTCTGTCATAAAAGGAGAAATGAAATGATCATAACAAAATAATATGCATCTTCATATGTAAATGATCCAGAACAGTTTTACTAGAATACATAATAGATCATATGGTTGCATGAGTCAGTTTGGATTTAGAAGTAAGAATATTGAAAGCATTTCTTTACACAAATACTGAAGAATGAAAGACAAGAGGTTCCAGTTAACATCAGAATTAAAATTAGTGTTCAGATACATAAAAACATACCAGGCTCATTAGTCTATAAACCAAAGAGGGAATAACCTTAATAGAAACAGGAATAACATGCCAAGCAAATAACAGTCTGTCAAAGAGGAAAAGTAAGAAAGAATAATATTCTCAGAATAACACTGGCCTCATTTATAAGAGTAATGTTGAAAACGTCCCTCTATGATGTGGAACAGGTAACGATTAAATACCTCAGCAATCTTATCTCCCTTTTTGAAATTCCAATACTCATTCAAGATATGCATCCTGCTACTTCAAAAGACCTGGAAGGCCATATTCAGTAACCTACAAGATAATGCATATTTTCATGTGATGAGGTGCACTCCGGGTTCTTGCCTTGCCTCAGTTCTCAAACGTGAGTCTCAAACTGAAGCAAACTAAAGGGATAATAACACTTACCCTACAGGGTGGGTGCTTCGATTAGAGGTAATGTTTGGGATATGCACAGCTTATGGGGCTCTGAAAGCTGGCCATTGCCATCAATTTGGTCTGCACGCACACAGAAAGAGAGGGTGAGTGCCTGCGTCGGTCTGCCTGGTTGCATTGAAGGTACTGGATTGAATGTGTGTGATCATGTTGGCAGGAGAATCGCAGGCACAGCTATTGCAGGTAATAGTGCAGGCTCAGTACTAGGGGGAAACAGGGGACACAGGGGACATGTTCTGAAGTAACTGAATTGAGGCCAGGCACAGTGGTTCATGGCTGTAATCCCAGCACTTTGGGAAGTTGAGATGGGAAGATCACCTGAGGCCAGGAGTTCGAGACCAGCCTGGGAAACACAGTGAGACCCCATCTCTACAAAAATTTGTTTTCTCTTTTTTTTATTTTGGTCTTATATTTAGTTTTAAAATTTTTTCTTTTTTCCCTGAGTCTGACACAAAAAAAAATTTTAAAAAGTAGCCAGGCATGGTGGCACACACCTATAGTTCCAGCTACTCAGGAGGCTGAGGTGGGATGATGCTTGAGCCCAGAAGTTCAAGGCTGCTGTGAGCTATGGTGGTGTCACTGCACTCCAGCCTGGGTAACAGAGAAAGACTCTACCTCTAGTAATAGTGATAATAATAATATGAAAAGCCCAAATAGCCAAAGCAACGTTAAGCAAAAAGAACAAAGCCAGAGGCATCATATTACCTGACTTCAAACTAACTATAAGGCTACGGTAACCAAAACATCATGGTACTGGTACAAAAACAGACATATAGACCAATGGAACAGAATAGAGAATCCAGAAATAAAGCCACACACCTATAACCATCAGATCTTCAACAAAGTTAACAAAAATAAGCAATGGGGAAAGGACTTCCTATTGAATAAATGGTGCTTGGATGGCCGGTTAGCCATATGCAAAAGAATGAAATTGGACCCCTACTTTTCACTACATACAAAAATTAACTCAAGCTGGATTAAAGATTTAAATGTAATACCTCAAAATATAAGAATCCTAGAAGAAAACCTAGGAAACACCATTTTGGACATTGGCCTTGGGGAAGAATTTATGACTAAGTCCTCAAAAGCAGTTGCAACAAAAACAAAAATTGACAAGTGACACCTAATTAAACTAGAGCTTCTAATTTAGCTAAAGAGTAAACCTAATTAAACTAAAGAGTAAACAGACAACCTACAGAATGGGAGAAAATGTTTCCAAGCTATGCACCCAGCAAAGGTCTAATATACAGAATCTGGCCGGGCCAGGTGGCTCACACCTGTAATCCTAGCGCTTTGGGAGGTCTGGTAGGCAGATCGCTTGAGCTCAGGAGTTCAAGACCAGCCTGGGCAACATGGCAAAACCCCACCTCTAGAAAAATTACAAAACTTAGCTGGGCGCAGTGGTGCGTGCCTGTAGTACCAGCCTCTTGGGAGGCTAAGGCAGGAGAATTGCTCGAGCTCAGGAGGCAGATGTTGCAGTGAGCTGAGATCGTGCCACTGCACTCCAATCTGGGCAACAGGAATGAAATCCTGAAGAAAAAAAGAAAGAAGAAAGAAAGAGGCTGGGTGTGGTGGCTCACACCTGTAATCTCAGCACTTTGGGAGGCCTAGATGGGCGGATAATCAGGTCAGGAGATCGAGACCATCCTGGCTAACACAGTGCAACCCAGTCTCTACCAAAAATAGCCAGGCGTGGTGGTGGGCGCCTGTAGTCCCAGCTACTCGGGATGCTGAGGCAGGAGAATGGCGTGAACCCGGGAGGTGGAGCTTGCAGTGAGCCGAGATCACGCCACTGCACTCCAGCCTGAGGGAAAGAACTAGACTCCGTCTCAAAAAAAAAAAAAGTAAGGAACTAAAAAAGAAAGCAGGGGAAGGGAGGGAGGGAGGGAATCTATAAGGAACTTAAATGGTTCAACAAATAAAAAATAAACCCCATTAAAAAGTGGGCAAAAGACATGAACAGACCCTTCTCAAAAGAGGACATACAAGCAGCCAACAAGCATGTGAAATAATGCTCTGCATCCCTGATCATCAGAGAAATGCAAGTCAAAACCACAATGAGATACCATCTCACACCAGATGGCAATTATTAAATGGCTTGTTAAAAAATCAAAAAACAACAGATGCCAGCAAAGCTGCAGAGAACAGGGAATGCTTATACTCTGCTGGTGGGAATGTAAATTAGTTCAGCCACTGTGGAAAGCAGTGTGGAGGTTTCTCAGAGAACTTAGAGTTACCATTCAACCCAGCAATCTCATTATTGGGTATATATTAAAAAGAAAAATCGTTCTACCAAAAAGACACAGGCACTCACGTGTTCATCACAGCACTGTCACAACAGCAAAGACATGGAATCAACCTAGATGCCAATCAATAGTGGACTGGATAAAGAAAATACGTGTGTGTGTGTGTGTGTGTGTGTGTGTGTGTGTGTGTGTGTATAAAATATATAAATGAATTATATTATAATTATAATATATTATATTATAATTATATTATATAATATTATGTATTCTATAATACATAATATAATTATATATGATATTATATATTATTATATACACATAATATTATATTCTATATGTATATGTTATATATAATATAAAGGAAAATACTATATCTCTCTCCCCAGGAATACTATGCAGCCATAAAAAAGAACAAAATCATGTTCTTTGCAGCAACATTGATGCAGCTGGAGGTCATTATCCTAAGCAAATGAATGCAGGAACAGAAAAACAAGTACCATATGTTCTCACTTATAAGTGAGAGTTAAACATTGGGTAATCATGGAGATAAAGATGGTAATAATAGACACTGGGGACCACTGAGTGGGGAGGGAGAGAGTGGGGCAAGGTTGAAAAACTGTTGGGTACTATGCTCAGTAGCTGCGTGTCGGGATCATTGTTACCCCAGACCTCAGCATTGTACAATATACCCTGGTAACAGACCTGCACATGTACCCACTGAATCGAAAATAAAAGTTGAAAAGTAATGAATAAAAATGAAATAAAATAACGTAATTGGGACTTGCTCAGTTGGATATATGGATAATTGTATATAATATGCTTCAATATTTTTACCTTTGTGCCTTTTTTTGATAGTACAAGCCTCCTGAAAGACATTTTTTTAAATCAACATTGAAAGAATGCAACTGTACATTTTACGTGATGAAGTTTTGGACCCTGTTTATTTCATTGTGGTCTAGGGTTATTTTATTTCATCAGGTGGTGGAGAATAAAGGCTAAGTTGGAAGAAGAAACTGTAAAATAAGAGACTACAAGAGGTCTCAGAGAGGTTAAGCCTTCAAAGGCAGATCATTGCAACACTGAAAATCTTGAAAAACAACAAGGAATTCAAAATAAATAAAATAACATACAATTTTCACAAAATGTTTGTCTTCTCAACGTGCTAAACATCTGGTGCTAATTTTTTTAATGGCCTACAAACCCATGTTGCCAAGAAATTCTAGTTGAGGCTCAATCTGTGGCACGTACAATATAATGACAATGGGAAAGGGAATTACTTTTTTCTGTGAAATACATTCCAAGGGTTTTGGATGCTGTCAGTGCCTTTGTATACATTGCCAGTAATTTTGAAAATAAATTTTCACTGTGGCTTTTTTCATTTCTTAACCTTATCCATGTGAACAGGAGAGCTTCCTCGTTCCACTGGGAGATCTTATCCACTAGTAACGAAAATGTGCTCCACTGGTCTCATTACACAGCTGATATTCACCAGTTTCACCATCTCATTGATTTTTCTTACAACAGTATCATCAGAATTCAGTGAAGAAAAAAATTTCAGTTGGATTTTTTCCTATCATTCTAATAACCTATAAACCACTGGTAATTTGAGTTTTTTCTATAATATTATACTGCTTACCATATTCTGCAATCATTTATATTATGCTGAAAGAATTAGCAACAACTTTACCTTCTACTCAGAGATTTTTCTTTAACATTCCGTGGCTATTCTAGTTTCAAACTTCTTTAAATCTCAGAAGTATGATATGCTGCCAACTTTATAAATGTATTTCTTTATACAATCTTTATTTTCTGTCTTCTTGTGGTCACTGTTTATTTTAAAAGAAGTGTAGAGTAGGCATATTGACAACTCTCCACATGTGGGAAGATATAAAAACCAAGTTTTTAACATTCAGCTGAATAATACTCACCCTTTTCCTCCATATTTGACATTTTGCCATAGAGGCTAAATCAGTATATTCCTGTGTAGAGGTAGTAGCCATGAAGAGGACAGTTACAATGGACACTAATTAGATGATGCCAATAATATAAGCAGGATCGCCATCCGTGACTTTTCAAAATGGTGAACTCTTGACAAATTTTCAAATAAAGCACTGCGCCGTATTTCCTTGATGTATGCATTTGATGCTTCCTAGGAAATTTAGTACTTACTAAACCTTGACAAAAAAAACCCACTTTGTATTCACTTATAAAATGGAATTCGTTCTAGGCTCAAATAATTAGAAGCAGGTTTTTCACCTATATAATTCTAGGTTCAGTTAGATTTTAAATTGGATTGTCATAAATAGGTTTGTTGTATTTATTTATTTATTTATTTATTTATTATTTTTTGAGACAGAGTCTTGCTCTGTCACCCAGGCTAGAGTGCAGTGGCAAGATCTCAGTCACTGCAACCTCCACCCCCCAGGTTCAAGCGATTCTCCTGCCTCAGCCTCCCGAGTAGCTAGGGCTATAGGCACACACCACCATTCTCAACTAATTTTTGTATGTTTAGTAGAGACGGGGTTTTGCCTAGGCTGGTCTCAAACTCCTGACCTCCAGTGATCTACCCACCTCAGCCTCTCAAAGTGCTGAAATTACCAGCGTGAGCCACCATGTCCGGTCAGGTTTGTTGTATTAAAAGTCCTGAGGAACCAGGAGCGGTGGCTCACACCTATAATCCCAGCACTTTGGAAAGCAGAGGCGGGCAGATCTCTTGAGGTCTGGAGTTTGAGGCCAGACTGACCAACAGGGCGAAACCCCGTCTCTACTAAAAATATGAAAATTAGCAGGGCATCGTGGCGCCTACCTGTAATCTCAGCTACTCAGAAGGCTGAGGTGAGAGAATCACTTGAACCCGGGAGGCGGAGTTTGCAGTGAGCTGAGATCGCGCCATTGCACTCCAGCCTGGGTGACAGAGCGAGATTCCGTCTCAAAATAAATAAATAAATAAAATATAAATAAAAGTCCTGAGGGACACACGAGAAATCTTTGTTGTACTAGTCTGACCCAACTAAATGCCAGCAGTAACCCCTGTTCATGATGACAAAAGAAAAAGCCATGCAAATCTCCAAAATACCTCTGGGAGCAGTACCATCCTGCAGAGAACCATTAATTTTTATAAAGATGCAATCACACTCTGTAGTTTACAATCTGAGTTATACCTGATTTACATAAAAATACAGTCACATAGAAGTGATCAGAGTTGTTTTAAGGCCTTTATGAGGCTCAGACCCTTTTACTTCTGGAAGCCCTACCCCAATTATATCAAGCATATTAAAATGCACCTTCATCCTAATAAATATAATAATAGCCAGGCTTGTTATGTGCCAGACACCATTTTAAGTACTTTACAATAACTATTTGAAGTACGCACTATTATTATTCCCATTTTACAGATAAGGAAAAAGGCACAGAGAGGTTCAGTGACTTGCCCAGAACCACACAGTGGTGGAGCCAAAATATAAAGCTTAGAACTCTGACACCAACATACTACAGCCTATATAACTCTTGTAGAGTTTACATCTAAGGATAAAGTATCATTTATGAGTTTGTCGCATTGGAGATGACTTCGCCTTCATCAATTTTAATTGTAGAGTTTTTATTTTGTATTTTGAGTCAATCATTTAATTTGAGGTGTGAAACATTATCTTAAGGCCCTTGAAAGGCCCGTGGCCCCCAGTACCATTACCTGTAAGAGCATTGCCTGAGATTCTCCACGCACATTCAATCCAGCACCTTCATGCCTCGGGGAGACCCACGGAGGCACTCACTTTATCTCTCTGTCTATTTTTTAATGTGTGCGTGTGTATGTGCGTGCGTGTGTGTGTGTGCGCGGACCAAAATGATGACGATGGCCAGCTTTTAGAGCACCGTGATTCATGCAAACATTATCTCTAATTTTAGCGCCCACTCTGTAAGATGTTGTTATCTTAATTTTTATGTGAGGTACCCGGTGTCAGATGACTGAGTGAATTTTCCAGTGTTTCATGCCTAGGGAAAGGGGGAGTTGAAAATCCAGTCCTGGTCTTTATGTCTCCAAAGCTTCTGCCCCCATCCTGCTATTAGTGGCTCCGTGTGGGCCCTTTGGGGCTTCTGTGTCTCTTGCATGACACTCCCTTCCCAGTGAAGGAACCTCAGCAGGTTTCCACTTGTCCTGCCATCCAGCTCCTATCCGGCAGGAGACGGCAGGTACTGGTTTTTCCCCTTCAGCTGCTGTTATCCTATTCCAGAGCCAGATTAAGATCTCAGACTTTCATTATAGCACAGACAACTTCGGGGAGCTGCTCTCGATGGGAACTCCAGAGGAAACAGGACGATTTTCTCAGTGCCTGGTCTTACCAGCTGCTATGGTAGTAACATCCCCTGCAAAACTCATGTTGAAACTTAATCCCCAATGTGGCAGCATCGAGAGGTGGGGCTCTTAAGAGGTGATTAGATCATGAGGACTCTGCCCTCATGGGTGGATTAATCTATTCATAGCTTAATGGGTTATCATGGGAGTGGGACTGGTGGCTTTATAAGAAGAGGAAGTGAGATCTGAGCTGGCATGCTCAGCCCCCTCACTATGAGATGCCCTGTGCCACCTTGGGACTCTATGGAGAGTCACCACCAGCAAGAAGGCCCTCACCAGATGTGGCCCTTCAGTCTTGAACTTAGCCTCCAGAACTGTAAGAAATAAATTTCTTTTCTTTATAAATTTCCTGTTTCAGGTGTTTTGCTATAACCAACAGGAAACAGATGAACACACGAGCTCTGCTTTTCCTGGGTGATTTTCCTTTTTGAATTATGCACTTAAAATGGATGCATCTTATTGATGTAATTGATATGTCTACAAAAAGCTACGACAAAATAAAAGTTAATTTAATAAGACAGTAAAAGGGATTCTAAGCTGGTGAACCCAGTGGGGCCTGGGCAGAGATTCTTACTCTGCAAACTGCCCGAAGTGGATCAAAAACTAAAACCACTCATCGTTTCTCCTGACCATGCCCTCTTCTTAGAGATTCCTTCTCCCACAACCCTGGGGGCCATGACTGGACAAGGTCACCTCTCAAACTGATTGCCTGGTCCCCAATATGAGGATGCAAAATGCATGGGGTGTGGATGTTACCAACTGGTTCCCTCTCATGAGACTGAGATAAACTCCATGGGCCCTTCACCTGTAGATCTCAGAGAATGAGGCAGATTTTATTGGGCCTGAGGCAAAGTAGAGAAAGCTAAGAGAAAGGAAAGGGTAGCGACCCAGGCAGACAGAAGAGTACTGGAGAGATCTGGCAGAGCCAGGGAGACAGAGGATGCATAGGCACCACAATGAGAGAAAGGAACTTGGTGCCTGCCTTCCAGTTCCCTAATCCTCCCGAGGGCCCGTCTCTTCCTATCCTTAGGTTCCATGCAATCTGCCAGTATCCTTATATGATAATTCCTTTCCTGCAGCCAAAGCTCCCTGCATCCCCTGCTGAGCCCACTGCAGCTCTAGATCCCAAAAGGACCAGCCCACAAGTGACAGCCTGCAGTCTCCCGACCTGGTGGGCCTTGGCTCTGAAGGGAACTGCCCCAGGGCCTGCCACCTGGTCACCCACAAGTCACAATCACCTACCCCCAGGGCCTTACCTGGGTGTGAGCTCTGCTTCATGGCCCCTGCAGTTGGCCCCAAGACTCTGCCTAGTGTCTTTACAGGACTAGCTCCACTGTGGACCATAGCCCGCTTTGCTCAAGCTAAACCCTGTCCACTGAGTGGCTGGATCTGCTCCCTGAGGTCCTCCTTTCCATACACACTCTACCAATTCCAGACTCAGCAGTGAAATAGATGGTCCAAGGCCTGCCCTGCCTGCCTGTTGAATAGTTCAGAAGTTCCTCCGTTGCAAACTAAAAATAAAATTCTAGGCCTTCTCCTCCCTCCCACCATTGACTGAATAGACACCCTCTTGGCCAAGAGGACCCCAGAAAAACCTTAAAACCGAGTTCCTGGCCATGATGGAATGTGAGGTTGGACAAGCTCTATTATATCCCCTCCCTTTTGCAGTTTAGATACAACTAACCAGCATTAATGTTAAAATACAGATCATAAGATTGACAAAACGGGCTCTTTGTAGCGATAAGATACCACATTATAAACAGCACCTAAGGCGATGCCCAGCAAGAGTGAAGTCACACACTCCTACACTTAAAGAATAAATTGAGGTAGGTGTATCACTAGAGGTCAGGAGTTCGAGACCAGCCTGGCCACCATGGTGAAACCCCATCTCTACTGAAAATACAAAAATTAGCCAGGCATGGTGATGCATGCCTGTAATCTCAGCTACTCAGGAGGCTGAGGCAGGAGAATCACTTGAACCCGGGAGGTGGAGGTTGCAATGAGCTGAGATAGCGCCACTGCACCCCAGCATGGGCGACAGAAGGAGACTCTGTCTCCAAAAAAAAAAAAAATCCAAAATCTCATGACGTCTACTAGTACTATCCCAATCAAAGCCACTGTTATTTCTCATGTAGATTATTGTAATAGCCACCCGAGCTACACTTTCTGCTTCCATCCTTGCCCCTCCCCAATCTGTTCTTCACCCATCAGCCAGAGTCATCCCTTCAAAACACAAGTCAAATAAAATCACTTCTCTCTGCTCGAAATCTTCTAGCAGTTCCTCAAATCACTCCATGTAGGATGCTACAATGAGTGGAGGAAACTACTAGGTCTGCGATCCACTCATCTTGAGTGGAGAAGTACTGAGAATAGATCTGGTGAGTCAGCACTAGCTGCTGAGGAGCCCCGAGGAAGAGGCTTTGGAAGTGCACAGGACTGGAAGTACAGTCTTGGAAAGTCACCACGTCTGGGGAGAGGAAATCAACGTAGAAGGTAAAGAAACTGAGAGGTAAAGAAAAGAAAGGAACAAACTGGTGGAAAGCCAGAGTCGCACAGAAACAAAAGAGAATCAGAATCAAAAGACATACCAACCTCTCTCTCACAAAAGCACCATCTATTCATGAAAATTGAACTTCACGGTACCAATAGAAGAGGGCATTCTTGAACGAAGAATCTTAGTAAGCCACTCAAGTCCTTCATCCCCATCTCACAAAGAAACACTTGTTATTGATAGGCCAGAAAAATTCAATATACTTTTGAGTAAACAAAAATGACATGCAGCACTTACACAAAGCCACTATGAGAAGAAAACAGAAAGTCAGAGGCTACTATCTTCAACTAATGAATTTCTTACCTGCCAAAACAACTAAGAGACAGGAAAATTATGACACAGTGTCTAATATGAATTAAATATTATTAGACAGGTATTTACAGATATAAAAGAACACCAAAATTCAAAAAATCAGGACAGAAATGGACAAAAATAACTCATGAAGTGAGTTAATAAAACTCAGGAAAAAAGTAAAAGAAAAAACTAAACCTTTTCAGAAATAAAGATTAAATCACAAGATGCCTAAAGGCAAATAGATTCACCTTCAACTGAAAATATAATAAGGGATATAGGCAGGAAAACAAAAACAAATAAACAGGTAAAATACAATCAGAGAAAAAAGTGATAGCTATAGAAAATAAACAAAAAATTATATACTGTACATATAATTAGAATTGCCTAAAAAGCAAAACAAAACGATGGGACAGAAATAATATTTAAAACTATAATCCAATAATGATTGTGGCAATGATCACACAACTATAAATTATTTGTCAAAACCCATCAAATTGTACACTTAAAAGTAGTTAAGGTTGGCTGGACGTGAGTAGTTAAGGTTGGCTGGACGTGGTGGCTCACGTCTGTAATCCCAGCACTTTGGGAGGCCAAGGTGGGGAGATCACCTGAGGTCAGGAGTTTGAGACTAGCCTGGTCAGCAAGGGGAAACCCAGTCTCTACTAAAAATACAAAAATTAGCCGGGCGTGGTTTGGGGTGCCTGTAGTCCCAGCTACTCAGGAGGCTGAGGCAGGAGAATCGCTTGAACCTGGGAGCCAAAGGTTCCAGTGAGCCGAGATTGCGCCATTGCACTCCAGCCTGGATAATAAGAGCGAAACTGTGTCTCAAAATAAATAAATAAATAAAATAAAATATAAAGTGTTTAACCATGAAAATTATAATCTAAGAAAACTTTCTGGAATTAAAAAAGGACTAAATCTAGATGTTGAATGTATTTATATACACAAGAAAATTGACCAGAATGGCCACCTCTGAGACATATCTGAGTAAAGCTATTATAAACAGAAAGAAAACATTCTGTTAGCAAAAATTCCAAATCACATACAAAGTAAAGAAAATCAAGTGGTCATCCTATGTGATAATCTCTAGTGCAAAACTCAAAGAATAGTAAAAGAATGCATAACTGTAAGTTAATACGAGAAAAAATAATTATAAAAAATATTTTATTAATCTAAAAGAAGCCAAGAAAGGAAGAAAAGAAGAGACATAAAACAGATGTGTCAAATAACATGCAAACAGAGAGTAATTGTAAACCAAACCTTATCTGGAATAACAGTAAATGCAAATGGACTAAATATTGCAAGTAAAAGGCTAATGTTGTCAAACTGGGTTTTAAAAATACTGCCTATGGCTTATGGCTGGGCACAGTGGCTCATGCCTGTAATCCCAGCACTTTGAGAGGCCAAGGGAGGTGGATCACCTGAGGTCAGGAGTTCAAAATCAGCCTGGTCAACTTGGTGAAACCCCATCTCTACTAAAAAACACACAAAAAAATTAGCCTGGCATGGTGGCAGGCACCTGTAGTCCCAGCTACTTGGGAGGCTGAGGCAGGAGAATCGCTTGAACCTGGGAGACGGCGGTTGCAGTGAGCCAAGATCATGCCCCAGCACTCCAAGCTGGATGACAGAGTAAGACTCCATCCAAAAAAAACAAAAAAACAAAACAAAAAACTGCTTATTAGCCAATGTCACTGCCTTTCAATTAAAAAAAATGTTTGTGGCCGGCCATGGTGGCTCACACCTATAATCCCAGCACTTTGGGAGGCAGAGGCGGGCAGATCACGAGGTCAGGAGTTTGAGACTGGCTTGGCCAACATAGTGAAACCCCGTTTCTACCAAAAATACAAAAAAAATTAGCTGGGTGTGGTGGCAAGGGCCTGTAATCCCAGCTACTTGGGAGGCTGAGCAGGAGAGTCAATTGAACCCGGGAGGCGGACGTTGCAGTGAGCCGAGATTGCGTCACTGTACTCCAGCCCAGGAGACAGTGCAAGACTCCGTCAAAAAAAAAAAAAATTAAGTATTGCTTACAAAAGACACACACTAAATAGAAGGACACAGATGGTTGAAAGCAAAAGGATGGAAATATTATATTCCACATAAAAGCTTACCCAAAGATAGTGATACTAATGTTAAGCAATGTAGACATTAAGCCATGAAGCTCTAGTAGAAATAAGTTCATTTCATAATGATAAAGTGGCCAATTGAATAGGAAGACATCACAGTCGTAAATCTATATGTAGCCGATAACATAGCTTTAAAATATATAAAGAAAACTAGGCAGAACTAAAGGAGAAAAAGACAAATTCACAGTCATAGAGGAAAATTTTAATACTTCTCGCTCAACATCTTGATAGAAAAGGTATACACACCAAAAAAACTGATAAGGATATAAAAGTATGAACAACACACTTAAAAACTTGACCCAGTCATCTTTCCCTTCCCAGAGCCCCTCTCTCTCACTAGAGAGAGAGCTGTTCTCCTTTCTCTTTCTTCTGCCTATTAAACCTCCGCTCCTAAACTCCTTGTGTCCTAAATTTTCTTAACAAAAGATGACGAACCCCAGGTATTCACCCCAGACAATGAAACTGCTTCAGTGTCATAATTTTGCAAAGGTGGTTTCGATCTCAATTTAATACTTTTTAATTTAGAAATGATGGTAAAACTTTATAATATACATACAATTAGCATTTTTCTTTTTTGTGTTATAAAATGTCATGGAGATACATTAAAAGATTTTCTTAGAATAATCTGTAAACTATTTAAAAGGTAACAATAAAAATTATGTGAACTTTACAAACTGGTTCTTCAGTGCTACTTGTAGGAGAGAAAGGAAAGCTTCCCCTTATTCTCTGAAGGTTTGTCAGTTGCTGTGTAACTGACAATACACAGATTAAAAAAAGAAAAAGGCATAAAAATTATTTAACACTCATGAGAGGGGAATTGCAGAATTATTACCCAATAACCCAATAAAGTCTTCATGCTTATATACTCTTCTTCATAGAGGAAAAGAAGGGAAACAAACAAACAAACAAACTTGACCCAGTTGATACATATAGAGCTTTACACTCAATAATGACAAAATACTTATCGTAGTTTTTCAAGTGAACATGTAAAATGTATTAACATTGACCGCGTGCTAGGCCATAACAGATTCTCCAATATATTTCAAAAGACTTAAACCATTCAGAGCATATTTTCTAACTATAGTGGATTAAGCTTTAAAAATCCATAACAAAAAGATAATTCAAATATTTCCAATTGCCTGGAAATTAAGCAATATACTTTTAAATAATCTGTGGATCAAAGAAGAAATACATCAAAAATTGTAAAATATTTCAGACTGAATGGTAATGAAAATATAACATACCAAAACTTACATAATTCAGCTCAAGCAGCATTTCGAGGGGAATGTAGAGCCTGGAATGCATATGTTAGGAAAGAAGAAAGGCTAAAAACCAGTCATCTAAGTTTCCAACTCAAAAACTAGTAACAGAATAGCTGTACAAGAGAGAAAATAGAAAATACATATAAGAGCAGAAATCCATGGAATAAAAATAAGAGGAAGAAGAATAAGAATAAGAGGGGGAGGAGGAGGAGGAAGAGAAGGAGGAGGAAGAAGAAGAGGAGGAGGAGGCAGAGGAGGAGGAGGAGGAGGAAGAAGAAGACCAACAAAGCCAAGTGTTCAATGAAAAGATTAGTAAGCTCTTGGTAACACTGACCAAGAAAAAAGGAAAAAAAAATACATATACACATAAAAGCAATGTCAGGAATAAAAAACGGGAAATCACTACAGATCCTACAAACATTAAGAGATAATAAGAGGATATTATAAACAACTTTACACCAGTATAGTTTGCACTTTGGATAAATTAGTCAACTTTCTAAAAAAATTTACCAAAGCTAACAGAAGAAATAAGAATTCAAAAAGTGTGCTTTTTCAAAAGTTGTACAGTAGTTGGCATTTAAAATTTCTTAACAGTTCTAGACATGAGAGACTAGTACTGGACTAGCCTTCTTGCCATTGGAAACAATAAAAACTAGATGACATATATAAATAAAATTTTTTTCAGATATTGGGCAACAGGTAGTACAAAACCGGGATCCCTGTGAAAAGAGAAATCCATGTGAGATCCATGTTCTAGACCACAGTACAGAAAGGCAGAGCCCAAGTACAGCACAGTGAGCTCATTGAGCTGAGAAGGCAGACATTTGATTTTAAGCCTTCTGAGGCAGCTGAAAGTTGTGGGGCAGGATACCGAAAAGAGAGAGTTGCACAGAGAAGGAGCTGCGGAAATCGACATAGGATTCCCCTTAAGTCTTGAGCTAAATACTCAACTGAGAATGCAGACTCATTTCTGCGTTCGTGTGCAAGGCACGGTAGAGGACAGATGTTAGGGAGTCGGGAGCTACACAGAGTTCTCACAGTACTGAGAGACACGGAAGTTCCAACTAGCCAGAGTAGCTGGGCAGTACAGAATTTGGTCAAACCTTCAGAAAGTCCACATCTTGGGAATAGAGCTATTCTCTCCTAAGGTTATTCCTAGTAAAAGAAAGGAGTAATCTCAATCAGCCCTAACATAGCTTAAAACAAGCCTCAAAAAAAAAAAAATGCTGATCTACCAGTAAATTGATTGCTTGCTAAAACAAACCCCAACACATTTTAAAGGAAAACCACATAATCCCAACAACACAGCGTCTATAATGTAACACATACAATTAAAAAAAAATCACTGAAGAGGTGAACTAGCAGTAAAATGTAACACATAATCAGGAGAAAAAAAAGTTGAGAAAAACAAACCAAGAAATGTTAGAGATGCTGGAATTAACAGACACAGATCTTAAAACATCCATTATAAATATGTTCAAATATGGTTAAGGACTTAAAGGGAAAAGCTGAATATAGTAAACAAATGGGGAAACTGATTAGATAAATGGAAACTATGGAAAAGGACAAAATGGATACTCTAGAATTAGAAAATACAGTATCAGAAGTGAAACATTTACTGAATGAGTTTAAGCGCAGATCAGACACTGCAGGAAAAAAAGTCCATAAATTTGAAGGGAAGGCAACAGAGCTATCCAAAGTGAATCACGGAGAGAAACAAAAAGATTGCAAAGAAGTGAACAGAGCCTTCGTGACCTGTGGGACATTAAGCAGTCTAACATGCGTGTAACTGAAGTCCCAGTAGGGGAGGTGAGACACTGTGGCAGGAAAAAAGTGTATTTGAAGAAATATAATGAAAAAATATCACCACACAGATCCAAGAAGCTCAAATACTAAAAACCGAAGATAAGTAAAACAATTGTAAAAGCGGTCAGAGAAAAATGAAACATCGAACGAAAAAAATGTTTAGGACGGGGTGCTGTGGCTCACATCTATAATTCCAGCATTTTGGGAGGCTGAGGCAGGTGGATCACTTGAGTCCAGGAGTTTCAGTCCAGCCTAGGCAACATGGCGAAACCCTGTCTCTACAAAAGATACAAAAATTAGCTGGGCCTGGTGGCACATGCCTGTAGTCCCAGCTACTCAGGAGGCTAATTAGGGTGGGAGGATTCCTTGAGCCCTGGAGGTGGAGGTTTCAGTGAGCCAAAATCGTGCCCCTGCACTCCAGTCTGGGCTGGAGTGAGACTCTGTCTCAAAAAAAAAAAAAAAAAAGTTTAATGAAACCACGACAAAACACTGACCTCATCATAAATAATGCCAAGAAACAATGGAACATCTTCAAAGTACCAAAGGCTGAGTGGAGACTGCCAACCTATAACCTATTTAATATCCAGTGAAAGTATCCTCCAATAATAAAGGCAACCACTTCAAAGAACCAGGGATTCTTGGAGAAGTGGCTGATTCTAGGACTAGGATATGGAAAGTACAAGATGAGTCTAGAACATCTTGTAGAGCCAGAAAGTGCTGATCAATGTAGAGGGAGTGGTTAAATTTGAAAACCATCATTTTACAACCAGCAGGATATGGCCTAGGTCAGGAAAATGGGTGATAAATCAACAGTACAAAGTTTGACGAAGAGCAGAATATCTACATAGTCTTAACATTTCTCCCCCCAAATGGCTTATTAGTTGCAAGGGAAAAATAAGTGGATAAAGCAGGCAGCACCTTGACTGGGTAGTCAAAATCAACATCAGCCATGAAAAGCAGGCGGACATGTGGGTCCCTGAGTGTGCTGCCCTGAAAAGGATGCAGCTTTATGCATGTGATGTTGCTGCTGACAGTGCACAGGCGGGATCTAATCACGAGGAAGCACCTGCTTCCTGATGTCACGCCATCTTAAAATTAACTAGGAAGTGTTCTTTAGAAAAATGCCGAACCTGCTTTATACAATTAGATAAATCCAGAGTGTAGAAATTTCCACAAGAGAGCTAGCCTGAGCTCTTCAGAAATGTAATGACATAAAAAACCACCAAAATATTGGTAAGGGGCAGGGGAAGGGGACTGTTCTAGGTTAAAAAAGAGTAAGGAAACATAATCGCGAACTATAATATGTACTCTTGATTGGTTCCAGGATCTGAAACAAATGCTATTAAAGTAACAGTGGGCACAAATGAGGAACTTAAATATGAATTGTATATTAGAAAATATTCTTCAGCCGGGCACGGAGGCTCACGCCTGTAATCCTAGCACCTTGGGAGGCCGAGGCGGGTGGATCACCTGAGGTCAGGAGTTTGAGACCAGCCTGACCAATATGGAGAAACTCCATCTCTACTAAAAATACAAAATTAGCTAGGTATGGTGGCGCATGCCCGAAATCCCAGCTACTTAGGAGGCTGAGGCAGGAGTATTGCTTGAACCCGGGAGGTGGAGGTTGTGGTGAGCCCAGATCATGCCACTGCACTCCAGCCTGGGCAACAAGAGCAAAACTCCATCTCAAAAAAAAAAAAAAAAAAAAAACAAAAAGGAAGAAAGAAAGAAAGAACAACAGAAAATATTCTTCAATTCATACTAAGTGTTTGGGGTGTGATAACAATCTTGTGGTCCTGAAGGAGAATGTCCTTATTCTTAAAGGAAATGCACAAATATTTAGGAGTAAAATGTTGTGATGTCTGCAGTTGTTTTCAAACAATTCAGCCAAAAAACCAAAAAGAGAGAAAGAAAGCAAATGTGGCAAAATATTAATTAATAACGATTAAGAAAAGGATATATAAGTATCCATTGCACTCTTCTTTCAACTTATATGTGTGTTTGAACATTTTTAAAACAAAAAGCTGAGAGAAAAAAAATGAAACAGGAAGAATGACCCTAAAGAAAACAAGGATAGCTTGGGAACAAGAGAAAACTTCATTTTTACATACTTTTTTACATATTGTATTTTCAGAGAAATTTGAGAAACTATTACGAGCACAAAAAAGAACAGAAAGCTCTAAAATAAGAAAATTTAGTAAGCAACCTAGAGCTCTCGGAAGTGAAAAATATAATCACTGAAAAATAACTTAAATAGAAGGGTTGGTAGATGAGAAAATAGATTTTAAAAACTAACAAAACAGAAAATGTGAAAGAAAAGATAAGATCTACAGAGGATCAATTCATAACTCCAACGCCTGACTAATAGTAACCCCAGAAACTAGGAACAGAAACATATGGGGCAGGGGCAAGAATTTTCAAAATATAAAACAAGAAAACTTCCTAGAACCAAAGAACATTTGACTTCCATCAAAGAATAATGAATGACAAATAACTCTGCCCAGGCACGCCCACATCATCAGCATGGAAGTTTAACATGCTGGGGTTTCAGAGACTTTTCAAGATTCCAGAGATATAAACAAACACACTAACATGTCACCTACAAAGGAACAAGAGTCATGTAGGATTCTCAATATTTTTACTAGTCATGCTTGATTCTAGGAGCACCAGAAAATCTCCAGGTGGCGAGGAGGCTGGGCTTCCCTCCAGGAAGTCCTGTGTCATATGCTTGGCCCAATACCCCAATACCCCAATCGATGAAATTATTTTTCATTCATTATTCTTTGATGGAAGTCAAATGTTCTTTAGTTCTAGCAAGTTTTCTTGTTTTATATTTGGAAAATTCCTCCCTCCCCTATATGTTTCTGTTCCTAGTTTCTACAATTACTATAGACGTTGGAGTCCTAGGATTGATGATCCTCTATAGATCTTATATTTTCTTTCACATTTTCTGTTTTGTTAGTTTTTTAAACCAGTACCCTGGTGACTTGTATATCTTTCTTTTTCACAAAAGAGTGAATTAACTGACTGTGGGAACATCTGTTTGTTTATCTTTATATCCTCTTCTCTTTATTTCTAAAGTCCTAAAAAGAGTAGACACTCAGAATTCTTTTTTGTTTGTTTGTAATTTTTCGAGATGGAGTCTTGCTGTGTCGTTCAGGCTGGAGTGCAGTGGCGTGATCTCGGCTCACTGCAACCTCCACCTCCTGGGTTCAGGTGATCCTCCTGCCTCAGCCTCCTGAGTAGCTGGAATTACAGGCATCTGCCACCACGACTGGCTAATTTTATTTTATTTTTTTGTATTTTTAGTAGAGATGGGGTTTCACCATGTTGGCCAGGATGGTCTTGAACTCCTGACCTCATGATCTGCCCACCTTGGCCTCCCAAAGTGCTGGAATTGCAGGCATGAGCCACCGCACCCAGCCCAGAATTCTTTTGAAGAAGTTGTATCAGTGTCAGTCTTTCCTTTCATATCTCACCACTTCCTTCCCTCTCATTTTCCATCCCCCTCTTACTCTGTTCTCTTATGCATTCTGGAAACACCGAGAACCTCAGTATGCTAGATAAAGGGGTATCAAATAGACGAAGATCAGTCCTGAGTTCCAGGAGCTCACAGCTGCGAGGAGAGAGACCACGTACAGGGCCATGGCCCTCCCGGGAGCTTCCTCTCCAAACCTACAGCACAGAACCCAGATGCACCTACCTACACGAGAGTTTCATGCCCTCTATTCTTAAATCTGAATTAAAGATAAGTTTTATTTTATTTTATTTTGTTTTTGAGATGGAATTTTGCTCCTGTTGCCCAGGCTGGAGTACAATGGCACGATCTCAACTCACCACAACCTCCACCTCCCAGGTTCAAGTGATTCTCCTGCCTCAACCTCCCAAGTAGCTGGGATTACAGGTACGCACCACCACGCCTGGCTAATTTTGTATTTTTAGTAGAGACGGGGTTTCTCCATGTTGATAAGGCTGGTCTCGAACTCCCAACCTCAGTTGATCTGCCCGCCTCAGCCTCCCAAAGTGCTGGGATAACAGGTGTGAGCTACCATGCCTGGGCTTATATGTTTCTAGTCCAAACATTTAGCTACCTTTTTTTTTTTTTGAGACGAAGTCTCACTCTGTTGCCCAAGCTGGAGCACAGTGGCACAATCGTGGCTCGCTGCAGCCTCAACCTCCTCAGGCTCAGGTGATTCTCCCACCTCGGCCTCCCTAGTAGCTGGGACTACAGGTACGCACCACTACACCCTGCTAATTTTTTTGTTTTTGTATTTTTTGTAGAGATGGGGTTTCTTCATGTTACCCAGGCTGGTCTTGAACTCCTGGGCTCAAGCAATCTGCCTACTTCAGCCTCCCAAAGTGCTAGGATTACAAGCATAAGCCACCATACCCGGCCTACCTACTTTTAACTTGTGGAATTTTCTATAAGGTCAGGGATGCCTGGGGGAACAAAAGTTTCCTCCTTGGTATAATGCAGGTAGAATCCACATGCTGCCTCCAGCTGCTGTACTTTCCTTTCCCTGCGAGTTATTCTTTGCAAGGGGAGGCCACAGGATGCAGACAAGGCCTCATCAGCGACCACTCCTCCCTCAGATCAGAGGTGGCCCTGAGGGTAACAGCGGGGAGCCACACTGGTGCAGAGAATGCCAAGGAAGGGAACTGGGAGGGTGAGGCACCTCTGCAAACAGTTCCCAAGGGAGCGCCTCCACCTGGTGGCCACGACAGGAAGCAGCGGTTCCCTTTGCCAAGGACATGGCCAACAAGGAGTTAAGGTTTTATACACACAGACCAGCGGACCCCGGACCCTCTGCATGTCAGAACCTGGATAATGTAGCTTAAGCTTCAGGATCCCTCCCTTACACAAGTCCCTTCTAAAGCCAGGGAGCAGTCGTAGCAAAATGCTCATTATGGACATATATTTTGTGCAAAATTTGCAAAACTAAGATTTTTCATATCATCTTTCCTAAAGAGGGTCCCACAAATTATATCCGCTTTAGACGCCAAAAAGTCTATCTTTGACCCTGATTGTCACATAGGGGCCACTTGGTCCAGAGCTCTCTGAATAGGTTTTCTTTCTTTCTTTCTTTCTTTTTTTTTTTGAGACAGAGTCTCGCTCTGTCTCCCAGGCTGGAGTGCAGTGGTGTGATCTCAGCTCTCGGCTCACTACAACCTCTGCCTCCTGGGTTCAGGCGATTCTCTTGTCTCAGCCTCCCAAGTAGCTGGGATTACAGGTGCCTGCCAACACGCCCAGCTAATTTTTGTATTTTTAGTAGAGATGGGGTTTCACAATGTTGGCCAGGCTGGTCTTGAACTCCTGACCTCGGGTGATCCACCTGCCTCGGCCTCCCAAAGTGCTGGGATTACAGGCGTGAGCCACCGCACCCAGCCCTGAATAGGTTCTTTAACCCAAATTCCAGTGCTCACTCCCCGCTCCGTCCCCGGGAGGCTACACAGAGGACCCTGGGAGAGCAGCGTGCACCAGGGTCAGAGACACAGGTTCACAGTTCAGAGAGATGTAGGTCTACGTCCCACCTCTGTCACTCACTAGCTGTGTGTTCCTGGTCTCTCTGTGCCTCTCTTTCTTCACCTGTAAAATGGGGATAATAATTGTGCATACTCCGGGCTGCTGTGAGAATACAATCAGACACACATGGTAAGTGCTCTGTTTGGTGGCTGACCTGTAGGAGGCGCTCCAGGAATGGCGGCTACGGGAAAGGTTCATAAATAGATACCCTAAACTGGGAATACCTATTCCTAACTTAAATTCAGCTCTATATATTAAGCATATACAAAATTGGCAGTATTTCACTGTTTTTTCAACTTATAAAAATAGCGGTTTCACATGATTTCCCCTAATAGAACAAGTGACAAAAATTACTGGGCATGGTGGCTCCTGCTGTAATCCCAACACTTCAAGAGGCTGAGGTGGGAGGATTGTTTGATGCCAGGGGTTCGAGACCAGCCTGGGCAACATAATGAGACCCCCCCCGACTCCACACACACACAAAATCAACGGCCAAGTAGGATGCAGGTCACTGGGAGTGAGCCTCACTCCTCTTGCTGGGAAAGGGTGTCTATGCTTTGCCTGCGGAGGCTGCGGAGGCTGAGGAAGGTTGTTTAGTCTTCTCCCTGGAGCCCCCTCTGTAACCATAAAGGCCACTGATAAAAGGGCCCATCCCTGCCCTCCCTACTTTCAGTCTTTTTTTTTTTTTTTTTTTGAGAAGGAGTTTCACGCTTGTTCTCCAGGCTGGAGTGCAATGGGGTGATCTCAGCTCACTGCAACCTCTGCCCCCCGGGTTCAAGTGATTCTACTGTCTCAGCCTCCTGAGTAGCTGGGATTACAGGCACGTGCCACCGTGCCTAGCTAATTTTCATATTTTTCATAGAGATGGGGTTTCATCATGTTGGCCAGGCTGGTCTCGAACTCCTGACCTCAGGTGATCCACCCGCCTTGACCTCCCAAAGTGCTGGGATTACAGGCATCAGCCACTGCGCCCAGTCCCCTACTTTCAGTCTTAATGGAAGAGTGACCCAGGAAGGGCTCTTCGGCCCCCAACACTCCTTGAAACACTGCCCCTTGCTGTTGGTCTCTGGGGGCACCAGCTGCTCTCCGAGTGCAGCTCCTGTTTTGGAGGTGCTGGGCTCTGTGACCACTTGCTGTCTCAGTCCCTGGAACCTAGTCTAGAAGTCTCTCTTTCTTCATCTGACCCTTAGGGAAGCAGGGGAGGATGTGGTGTGGAGACAACCAGGCCCACATGGAGTCCACACGGCAGAGTCCACACCTGACAGCCAAAGTCCTCCAGCCAAAAAGCTGTCCCTGAGAATCACAAACTCACAAGAAAACCCTCTGGCTGCTGGGGCCTGGGCGTCTCCTGTTTATTTCCCACCCAGTGGCCCGCAGGTCCCATACTCTAGAGAACGTACTCGGAATTCTGGTCCCATACTCTAGAGAACATACTCACACCCAGCTGAGCTGGGCGTTCAGCTGGTCAGTAGGTCAGACCACAAACATGTAGGAAACACGTGCTGTTAAGACAGGTGTCTGGCTGGGTGCGGTAGCTCACGCCTGTAATCCCAGCACTTTGGGAAGCTGAGGCAGGTGGATCACAAGGTCAGGAGTTCAAGACC
Organism: Homo sapiens; assembly: GCF_000001405.40. NCBI lineage: Eukaryota > Metazoa > Chordata > Mammalia > Primates > Hominidae > Homo > Homo sapiens. The sequence continues at coordinate 66,209 of NT_187538.1, forward strand.
AATCTGACCAACATGGTGAAACCCCGTCTCTACTAAAAATACAAAAAGTAGCCGGGCATGGTGGTGCGTGCCTGTAATCCTAGCTACTCAGGAAGCTGAGGCAGGAGAATCGCTTGAAACCGGGAGGTGGAGGTTGCAGTGAGCCGAGATCACGCCCCTGCACTCTAGCCTGGGAGACAGAGCGAGACTCAGTCTCAAAAAAAAAAAAAGACAGGTGTCCTCCGAGATCAGAGAGGACTGTGCCATGCAGACTGTGTCAGCGGAGTTCTCTGAGAAGCAGAGGCTGAGACAGAGTCAGGAATACCCACGCCTCATTGGTAAGCAACGCCTCTGAGAGGAAAGGGAAGGAAAGGTGGGTGGGGCAGGGAGCTGCCAGACCACAGTGCAGATGTGACAAAGCTTGGCCGGCCCCAGGGGAGCCCTGGAACAAAGGTGTCCAAGACTTTCTGTTAGAAGAGTCGTTCACAGGGCAGAAGCAGCCAGGCCCTTATCATCAAGCTCAGTCTCTGGCTGGGGCCACCCCTCGAAGAGCATGATCTCAGCTCAAAAGCTGCAGCTGACCTTGAACACCAGCCCAGACGCTGAGGCTGTCAACTCATCACACTCCTCGCGGCTGGGCAGCAATACTTTCTCAAAGGAGAATGGAGCAGAGCAGCCCCATGTCTGCCACAGTCCACATGTCACGGTAATGTGGACACATGTGGGGAGCAGCTCCCCCAGGGATCTGGGGGGCCTCTGTACAAGAGGGAAGTTACGAGCATGAAATAGAGACCTCATTCACTGCTACTGGCCTCAGGGCCACCACTGGTGCTTGGCTCCCTCCGCTATTCCTTCTAAATTGCCCTGCCCTCAGCTCCCACCTCTGTCGGCCCTCATGGTCTAGCTGTGGGGTGACCCTAGCCCTCATTCTTGATGAGTCTGAGCCCCTGGTAACAAGGAAAATGTCCTGTCCAGACCCTCCTTTGAGGAAAGATGTGCTGCCCAGCTGCAAGGAGTGTGGTTGGCAGGCAGCCTCCAGCTGTTGGCTTTGTCAGGATCTGCCTCAGTGTTGGAGCCAAGGTCACCCTATTTTGGGAGCAAGCCCCAGCCCATAACTGAGCACAGTGGCAGTCCAAGGGCCTAGCCTTTACCAGTCTTTGCCTGGAGCCGCCCCACTGGGCTGGCAGAGATTTTGTCTTATTTGCATGGCCATCTGAGCCTCCCCTCGCCCAATCTTGCTTTACTCCTTTTCTTCACAGGTGTTACTCCTCAATCAAATGTCTGCTGCCTAACTCTGTCTCACACCTGCTTTCTAAAGAGCTCAACCAAACATTTGGAACTGGGAGTGGTCCAAGAAAGCATCCACCATGGAAGTGGCCAGGCCTTCAGTGGACAAAATGACTCAGCCAGTTGACAGTAGCCAGCCTTTGTCAGTGCCTACCCCGGTCCCAGCACAATGGGCAATGACCGAGGCTATGTATGGGCCCAACACCATGAATTCCCACTTAACAAGGTCAGTCCAGCTCTTGCTGCCTCTGCATGTCCAATCTGCCAGCACAGAGATCCATGCTAAGCCTGTGGTATGGCACTACTTCTTAAAGAGACCAACCAGCCACATGGTGGCAAGTTGTCTTCACTGGAACCCTTCTATCCTAGAAGGTCAGCAGTTTTTTCTCACGAGAATAGACATCTATTCTGGGTATAAGTTTGCCTTTCTTTCCCATAAGGTCTCAACCAGCACTGCTATCCAAAGGCTTATGGAATGCCTGATTCACAGGCATGTCATCCCACACAACAGAGCATCTGTTATGCAAATGTACCCAGGATTCGTATTAACCAGATATGGCCAAATATGCAGACGTGGAAATGACTGTAATGAAGAAGGAAGTCTATCCTCACAGATCCTGGAAACAGGAGGCACAGCACACCATGCACGGCCACGTGAAGAAGGACTGGGATTGATCAGGAGGCAAAAGAGAGGTGAGGGCAGAGCGCAGCCCGGAGCCTCTATGGGGGTTCTCATGGAGAGTAGCAGACAAGGCAGGGTAGGTATGCTGAGTCCAGGATTGGAGAGATGAAATCGTTTTGGCAGGCCCTGGGCTATAAAGAGTGATCCCTGCCGGGCGCGGTGGCTCACGCCTGTAATCCCAGCACTTTGGGAGGCCGAGGCGGGCGGATCACGAGGTCAGGAGATCGAAACCATCCTGGCTAACACGGTGAAACCCTGTCTCTACTAAAAATACAAAAAATTAGCTGGGCGTGGTGGCGGACGCCTGTAGTCCCAGCTACTCGGGAGGCTGAGGCAGGAGAATGACGTGAACCCGGGAGGCGGAGCTTGCAGTGAGCTGAGATCGCATCACTGCACTCCAGCCTGGGCAAAAGAGGAAGACGCTGTCTGAAAAAAAAAAAAAAAAAAAGAGTGATCCCCAATTGTTTGGTACACGGCCCTGGGGTGATTTAGGGCGGGGGAATATTGGCTTGATATATGAGAATTTGATAAAGGACACGGTTGGGGATGTGGACTTGGATTGGTTGGTTTTCCTATCAAGGACGTGCTTGCAGGGAGGTTGTTTGCTATTTCTAGGAGTTAGCTAGCCCTGAGAGAGGCAGGATCAAGATCCCAAATGCCAGAACACCAAGAATACAAAAGATGAGGACGTGTAGTTAATGCAGCATCTGACCAGGGAATTCCCTTTACAGCAAAGTAAGGCCATGATCATGAGATCACTGGTGGTCTCACCTGCCACACCATCAGAAGCTGCCGGCATGCTAGCTCTTTGGAATGACTTGTTGGTGGCACAGTTGGAGTGCTGGCTTGGAGGCACCATCCTCCAGGGCACAGAATGCTAACTGGATCAGAAACCTTTATATGTTGCTACAACCTCAGTAGGAAGAACAGATGGACCTAGGAACAAAGGAGTTAAAAAGCAGGAGTGTAGACTGTGAGTTTCTTAAGAAAAAAAGTAAGAGTGGCTCATTTGCCATCACTCCCAATGACCCCCTGGGTGAACTCGTGCTTCCCATCCCTGCACCTCTGGGCTCCACAAAGTCAGAGGTCTTGGTACCCAAATGGGGCTCACTTATCACTACGACGAACAGGGGCCAGACTGTTGATTATGTGAAGATAAGATGAGGACCAGCATCTCTGCAGCCTTCAGATTCTTAAGTATGGCATTCATTTCCACCTTTCCCCTCAGAATGTGATAGATACTGTTTTTGATATACTGTTTTTTTACTGTTTTGTGTTTTTATTCTGGCTGGTCAGTGGCAGTTTCAGAGGATTGTGTCTGGGCTTTACCGCTCTCATGGCACTTAACCTATAGGCAAAGGTTCCAATGTGGAGGTTACCCCAACTACCAAGTTTGTCAATCTCTGTTCCACAGGCCATCAGATGAGTCTATGAACATCATAACCCCCCTGTAAGCAGAGTTTTTGGCCAGGACTCCATATGCTCTAAACTAACAGAGGCACCATGATAACACTTCAGGCCTCTGGACAGCAACATCAACTCAGACTCTGTGTCCAACTGTCCTTGAAATATCTGAATATTATCTTGGCTGGGCGTGGTGACACATGCCTGTAATCCCAGGACTTAGGTAGGCAGAGGTAGGTGGATCACTTGAGGTCAGGAGTTCAAGACCACCCTGGGCAACATGGTGAAACCCCATCTCTAATAAAAATACAAAAATTAGCCAGGTGTGGTGGTGCTCACCTGTAATCCCAGCTACTCCAGAGGCTGAGGTGGGAGAATCACTTGAACCCAGGAGATGGAGGTTGCAGTAAGCCAAGATCGCGCCACTGCACTCCAGCCTGGGCAACACAGTAAGACGTTGTCTAAAAAAAAAAAAAAAAAAATCTGAGTATTACTCTTTTACCCAGGACATAGCACTATGGTAAATGTAAGGTCCTTTTGGGGAAGGACTGCAGATATCATTAAAGTGCATACTTGCCATGATATTGCAGGATTCTCCTATGGTTCCAACCACCTCTGCAGCCAATAGGTCCTGAGTCTGAAAACTGGCTGAGGTTCAGACACTGGGCAAGGGATCATGACTTTATTGGGGCAACTACCCTCAGCCTCCTGCTTATTAATTTTTGGTCTTTTTTGAATACAGTTGTCCCTTGGTATTTGTGCAGTATTGGTTACAGGACCCCTATGGATGCCAAAATCCATGGATGCTCAAGTCCCTGATAATAAAATGGCACAGTATTGGCCAGGCATGGTGGCTCATGCCTGTAATCCCAGCACTTTGGGAGGTCGAGGTGGGTGGATCTCGAGGTCAGGAGTTAGAGACCAGCCTGGCCAACATGGTGAAACCCCGTCTCTACTAAAAATACAAAAATTAGCTGGGCGTGGTGGTGGGCACCTGTAATCCCAGTTACTTGGGAGGCTGAGGCGGGAGAATCACTGGAACCTGGGAGGCGGAGGTTGCAGTGAGCTGACATCACGCCACTACACTCTAGCCTGGGCGACAGAGTGAGACTCTGTTTCAAAAAAAGAAAAAAAAAAAAGGCACGGTATTTGCACACACCTACACACATCCTCCTGAATACTTTAAATAATCCCGAGTACTTATAATACCTAATATAATGTAAATGCTATGTAAATAGTAGTTATACTGTATTTTTAAGGGAATAATGACAAGAACAAAAAATGTCTGTACATGTTCGGTGCAGATGAATTTTTGTTTTCAATCTTTTGTGGCAACAGGGTCTCACCATGTTGCCCAGGCTGATCTTGAATGCCTGGTCTCCAGCAATCCTCCTGCCTCGGCCTCCCAAAGTGCTGGGATTACAGGTGTGAGCTACTGCACTCAACCACACAAAATTTAAAATATATATATATTTTCCACCCACAATTGGTTGAATCCACAGATGCAGAATCTATGGATACAGAGGGCCAACTGTACTTCTATACATAACAGTTCCCTTTGGGCTGCTTGTCTACTTTTCCACTGGAGACACTGTGTTCTCTTAGCCATCTCCATAACTGTCTGAACATCAAACCTCTGTAATTATCACTCTGACCTTCTCTGCTGCTACAGTTGTTCTGACCCCTGTCTTCTGACCGCTAAGTGCTGCGCCCTGCTCTCTATTGCCCCAGCCCTATCCTCTCCAGTACAATCAGCAAACCAAGTTCTGTGCCTGCCTCTCCCAGCATCAGTCCTGGCCTGCAGGGGAGGGCCACCACTGAACAACCTAGTCATGACCGTGGCAAATGGTGTGTTCCCCTGTCTCCCCATAGAATCCTATTCTCTTTTGCCTAACATACTGCCTCCATTCCAAATGCCCACCCACTTTCCCAAGGCTTTTGATCCCTTTCTCTGCCCTCTTCCCCGGCAATTCAGATATTTCAACCTCACTCAGCTTGACCTGCCACTTTGTCCAGGCTTCAATGAACCACCCTAGCAGTTATCTTGCACCCTCCCTGGGGTCCTTACCAGGGGGTTAAATCCTGTGCCTTATAGCTCCCTTCTCCAGTCCCATGAAGCTCTCAGAATCCAGGCCCACAAGTACTCCCACAGCCTCTGCTGGCACCTGTTGACTAGATCTTACAGCTCCTTTGGAATATAGCACCTTTCCTCCTGTATCCAACTAGCATATCCCCAGGCAAACTACGCAACGATTTAACCCAGTAGTAAAGTCTAGCTACCCACTGGCAATGAGGGCCACACCCCAGGAGTTAAGTCTAGCAGCCAGAAGATGAGGTGAAGGCAGCTGCCTAGGGACACCTGTTGCCTTGTAGGGGAAAGACCTCTGCCTTGTCAGGCCGGGTGCCATGGCTCAGGCCTGTAATCCCAGTGCTTTGGGAGGCCAAGGAGGGCGGATCACAAGCTCAAGAGATCAAGACCATCCTGACCAACATGGTGAAACCCTGTATTAAAAATACAAAAATTAGCTGGACGTGGTGGCACGTGCCTGTAGTCCCAGCTACTGAGGAAGACTGAGGCAGGAGAATCGCTTGAACCCAGGAGGTGGAGGTTGCAGTGAGCCGAGATCACACCACTGCACTCCAGCCAGGCGACAGAGTGAGACTCCATCTCAAAAAAAAAAAAAGAAAAAGACCTCTGCATTGTCCCCCAACACAGAGGAGGAGGGAGTACTCTCATGTGTAGGGGATGAGCCACCTCTGCAGGTTCTGAGAGCCAGAGAAGCTCAGGGCTTCAGAATGTTCAGGGGCACCCACCTCGAGGTCCCATCCCATGTGTCGGGGTCCCAGAGATCTGAATCACTAGAGCATTCAGCCATCTTTGGAGTGCAGCCACTCTATTAACTCATGGCTTCATCTTCAGTTCCTTTTCTTCACCGAGCAGAGGACATGAAGGATTCTTCATCAGCTGCCAAAGAAATCCTCTGGCTTTCACACTTAGTTTTCAATTGTTTGTTAATTGCCCTCAGCTTTTCATTATGTGTCTGTAGATCACCAATGCAATTGTTCATTTCCATGTATCTATCTATAATTCATATATTCTATATTCATATATATTATACATCATATAATATCCATATTGTATAGAATGTTTTTCTCCCCTGTGTACCTTTCAAATGCCTGACTTATCACATAAGCCAGTTCATTCCCCTTCACTGGTACATTCTCCCACGTCAGCATCAGTGAAATGTTTAACAATAGGGCCACCAACATGTGCTGGGGACTTTCCATGCTCACTTAACTCCTGGGGCGTGGCCTCATTGCCAGTTGGTGGTGGAGTGATCCAGCCCCCAAACCCCGTCTTACCAACTACTTTCTTGGACCACTATTGAAAACCCATAGGCCTGGCACGGTGGGTCACACCTGTAATCCCAGCACTATGAGAGGCCAAGGCGGGTGGATCACGAGGTCAGGAGTTCGGGACCAGCCTGGCCAGCATGGTGAAACCCCATCTCTACTAAAAATACAAAAATTAGCTGGGCATGGTGGCATGCACCTGTAATCCCAGCTACTCGGGAGGCTGAGGCAGGAGAATTGCTTGAACCCTGGAGGTGGAGGTTGTGGTGAGCCGAGATTGAACTCCAGCCTGGGCAATAGAGTGAAACTCCATCCTAAAAAAAAAAAAAGAGCCAGGCGCAGTGGCTCACACCTGTAATCCCAGCACTTTGGGAGGCTGAGGCAGGTGGATCACCTGAGGTCAGAGTTCGAGATCAGCCTGGCCAACGTGGTGAAACCCCGTCTCTACTAAAAATGCAAAAATTAGCCAGGCATGGTGGTGCATGCTTGTAATTCCAGCTACTCAGGAGGCTGAGGCAGGAGAATCGCTTGAACCTGGGAGGCAGAGGTTGCAGTAAGCGGAGATCGCACCACCGCACTCCAGTCTGGGCAACAAAAGTGAAACTCCGTCTCAACAAAAAAAAGGAAAAAAACAAACAAACAAAAAACAAAATGGATGCTGAGATGGAGTTAGGAATTCAAAACTTTCACTGGGGAGTAGGACTTGTGAAAAGAAAGAGGCGGAAGCCAGAGTGGGCAGAGAGAGCCCTCTGATTCGGAGGCAGACTAGCTAAGGTCTCTGACTGCCCAGTGGGAAGCTCCGGAGCAGATGGTTCATTGGGAGTCCAGCATTGGGAGGAAATAACCAGGCCATTGTAACACTGCCTTAGTCATCACTGGGGAGGCCACCCTGCAAAGGATATGATCTCAACTGGAAAGCAGAGGTTGACCCTAAAGGAGTCTATAGCTGGAGCTATCAGCTCATCATGTGCCAGGCAGCTGGGCAGTGAGTCCTTTCTCAAAGAGGTATCTAAGGTGCATCTCTGCCACATTGACAATGACAAGACAATATGAGAACAGTTTCTGTGCAAGCCTGTGCACAGTTGAACCATGTTTCTCTGGTTAGTAAAGAGGTGTTGGCTGGAAGTTTACCAGGAAGATAAGGTGAGAGGGGACTTTGCAGGAAAAGTGGACCAAATATTCAAAGACCAAGGCAATGCAAAGCATGGGTATGTTCTAGAAAAATCCAAAGAATCCAGTGGAGCAGAAACATAAATGTTAGCAAATGGGAGAATATGGACATGAATGATAAAGGAGACGAGTAACACAGGACCTTTTCTGCCTGGCCACAGAAGTTCAGATTCTGGGCCGGGCACGGTGGCTCATGCCTGTAATCCCAGCACTTTGGGAGGCTGAGGCAGGTGGATCACCTGAGGTCAGCAGTTCGAGACCAGCCTGAACAATATGGAGAAACCCCATCTCTACTGAAAAAATACAAAAATTAGCCAGGTGTGGTGGTGCACGCCTATAATCCCAGGTACTCAGGAGGCTGAGGCAGGAGAATCGCTGGAACCTGGGAGGCAGAGGTTGCGGTGAGCCAAGATTGCACCATTGCACTCCAGCCTGGGCAACAAGAGCAAGATTCTGTCTCAAAAAAAAAGAAGTTCAGATTCCACCTGCAGCTGACACAGGGAACTTGAAGAATGTTCATCAGGGAAATGACATGATGAGATGTGAATATTAACAAGACCTCTCTATGGAAGAGAAAAGCCAGGAGATGAAGTGAGGAAGAGTCAAGATGATGCTGCAATGGTCCAGGAGAGAACCAAGTTGGGGTGGTGGAATGGAGAGGAAAGTCCAAATAACCCCATAGCAGGTAGAACTGGGTGAACACAGTGAGCAATTGACCATGAGGGGTTGATATGGTTTGGCTGTGTCCCCACCCAAATCTCATCTTCTTTTTATTTTTTTTTTTGAGATGGAGTCTTGCTCCATCACCCAGGCTGGAGTGAGTGGCACAATCTTGGCTCACTGCAACATCTGCCTCCCAGGTTCAAATGATTCTCATGCCTCAGCCTCCTGAGTAGCTGGGATTACAGGCACGCACCACCATGCCTAGCTAATTTTTGTATTTTTAGTAGAGATAGCGTTGGCCAGGCCGGTCTCGAACTCCTGACCTCAGGTGATCCACCTGCCTCAGCCTCCCAAAGTGCTGGGATTACAGGCTGTGAGCCACTGCGCTGGCCCCAAATCTCATCTTGAATTGTAGCTTCCACAATTCTTGAATGTTGTGGGAGGGACCCGGTAGGAGGTAATTGAATCATGGGGACAGGTCTTTCCCATGCTGTTCTTGTGATAGTGAATAAGTCTCATGAAATCCGATGGTTTTATAAGGGGGAGTTTCCCTGCACAAGCTCTCTCTTTGCCTGCTGCCATCCATGTAAGATGTGACTTGCTCCTCCTTGCCTTCTGCCATGATTGTGAGGCCTCCCCAGCCATGTGGAACTGTGAGTCCATTAAACCTCTTTTCTGTATAAATTACCCAGTCTCAGGTATGTCTTTATTAGCAGCATGAAAACAAACTAATACAGGAGTGAAGGAAGGGAGGAGCCCAGGATGATGCCCTAGTTTCTGACTTGAGCATCTGGCTGGCTGTTCACCTGGTCCCAGAAGAGACCTACACACATGCTTTCTCCCCTCCAATTTCCCCTTCCCCTTGACCTGTGATCTATTCCTCCACCCCAGGTCCCTTTCAACATTAGACATCCCTCACCCCTATTCACCTGATGCACACGGCAAGGGAGGGCACAGAAATAGGCTCCCAATAGAGGCTGCCAGGCATGGCCCTGGAGACAGCTCACTTGTTACAGTCCCTGCTGCTATGGTTTGAATGTTAATCCCCTCCTAAACTCATGTTGAAACTTAATCTCCAAATGACAGTGTTGAGAGGTGGGGCCTTTAAGAAGTGACTGGGTCATGAGGCTCTGCCCTTATGACTGGATTAATCCATTTGTGGATGAATGGATTCATGGGTTATCATGGGAGTGGGGCTGGTGGCCTTATAAGAAGAGGAAGAGACACCTGAGCTAGCACACTCAGCCCCTCACCATGTGATGCCCTGTGCCACCTCAGGACTCTGCAAAGAGTCCCCACCAACAAGAAGGCTCTCGCCAGATCCGGCTCCTTGATCTTGGACTTCTCAGTCTTCATAACTGTAAGAAATAAATTCCTTTTTAAAATAAATTACCCAGTTTCAAGTATTCTGTTATATGTAACAGAAATTAGACGAGATAACAGTCCAGGCCATCTCTCACCCCTGAGCTTGAGCTCGCAACCCCATAGAGATGGGTAGTCCAACAGTTAAGGCCCTATCCAAGTTGCCCAGACCTGCCAGTCCAGCGCCATCCACTCATCGTGCACCTTGCTTCAGCCTCACTGAACCATATTCTCCTCTTGTGATTTCCCACACCAGGCCCTCCTCTTGCAATGTCTGGACCTTCACAGTTCAATTCAAACGCCCCCTCCTCTATGAGGTCTGCTGTGACTCCCCAGCTGGGAATATCTTCCTCCTTGATCTCCACTTGCTTTGCATTTTGTTCTTATTAATCCTGCTCTGTATTGTGAGGCTTTTACGTGCTCATGGGTTGTCTTTACTAGATGTCAAGAACTCAAAGCCAGTGTCTGTTCCAGGCAGGTCCCTGCACAGAGTGGGGGTGAGGGAGTGCACAGAGAAGGAGCAAGAAGGTAGAGCCAAGACCCAGTGAGTGGGCCGGGGACTGGGGCATGGTGTAGGAAGACAGGTCTTGCCTCTCAGGACAGGAGGAGCTCAGAGAAAACGTTGCCTCTACTACTGCTGCTCCAAATGCAGACCTTATGGTTTCTAGGACCTTCATATGGACCAAACTGGGCTGTTCCTTGGGGTGAGGCTCTCCAGAGTCCCAGAAGACTCTGCTGGCCTCCAGGCCAGCCAATTCTCCCTCTCATTATTAACTGCTGCAACCATGTGCTAAGAGGGGATCTGATGAAATCCTCCCAGCTGTTTCCTGACGACCCCTGACGGTGCCCAACCTGGACTGAGCCCTTTTCTGGGACAAGGATCCCCAAGGATGTGCCTGGGTGTCACCCCTAGCAGCCCACCAAGGTTTGGTTCACTCCCTCTGGGTGTGAGCTAGGCGCCAGATGTCCCCACACTAGAGGACACCAGGTGGTTGGCATCATGGCAGGTCACTTCTAAAATGGGATCAGGAATTTTTCAGAAGAAAAGGTTGGCAGAAAAAAAAAAAACAGATTGTGACTGAAACACAGTCACCAGCTGATGTAGCATATTTGGAGCTATGTTCTTCTTGCAGATGGGGAAGGATACAGAAACTCATGAAGGGTAGGCATGGGAAACCTTTCCCCAGAATTAGCAGAGAATAGCCCAGGTGAGGTCCCCGCTAACCAATGATTTGGGCAGGTTTGTGCTTCACTTGCTCATCTATAAAAGAGGGATCAAAGGGAGTGTTGTGAAGAATTAAATGAGTTAGTAGATATGTAAAGTGCTTAGCACAGTGCCTTGGCACATAGGAGTGCTATCATGATTTGTATTAGTTTTTCTAGGATAATTAGAATTGCAGCAACATGTGTGTATGTTGACAAATCTAATTAAAGGCCCAGAAAGGTTTTAAGCACTTTCACTGTCGGATGGAAAGGGTAAGATAGTTACATTAACTCCAGCTTGGTGCAAACCATGAACAATTCAGCAGTAATTGAGAGGGTCAGCAGGAAAAGTCATTGAGGACCCTGGATGTTTGCGTTCCTTGCAATCTGCTCAAAATGATAGGTTTTTATATTTAGCGCAAAAATTATATGCTTTGTAATTTTAATGAAAAGTCATTTGTAATTTAAATGGAAACTATATTTGATTAGGTCATGAGTTGTGAGAAATAAATTAAATAAGAAAGAAAAAGGATTTTAAAAATCATGTCTGGTATCAACCCAACTACATAACCTTAAATCCCCTATATCTATATCTGTAAGATACAGCATAGTTTCTGACTTCTCTAGAGCGAAAACTCAGATATATCTAGAGCCATCTGACATCTCTCCCACAGAAGGATCTATTTAACATGAAGGCTGCTGAGACTTGTTGTGATGGTTAATTTTTTTTTTTTTTTTTTTTGAGATGGAGTCTCGCTCTGTCTCCCAGGCCAGAGTGCAGTGGCACAATCTTGGCTCACTGCAACCTCTGCCTCCCCAGTTCAAGCTATTCTCCTGCCTCAGCCTCCCAAGTAGCTGGGACTACAGGTGCGTGCCACCATGCCTGGCTAATTTTTTGTGTTTTTAGTAGAGAGGGGGTTTCACCATGTTAGCCAGGATGGTCTCGATCTCCTGACCTCGTGATCTGCCCTGCCTTGGCCTCCCAAAGTGCTGGGATTACAGGCGTGAACCACCGCGCCATGATGGTAAATTTTATACAGCAATTTGACTGGGTCACAGAGTGCCCAGGTATTTGGTTAAACATTATCTCTGGGTGTGTCTATGAGGGGGCTTAAGGAGGAGATTAGTGTTTGAATCAATGGACTGAGTACACAGATGGCCCTTCCCAATGTGAGTGGACAGTATCCACTCTGCCAAGGACCTGAATAAAACAAAAAGGTGGAGGAAGGGAGAATTCACTCTCAACCTGACTGTTTGAGCTGGGACAATGGTATTCCCCTGCCCTCAGACTGGGTCTCACATCAGTGCTCCTGGTTCGCAGGCTTTCAGACTCAGTTTGGAACGTACACCATCAGCCCTCTTGTTCTCAGGCTTTCAGACTTGTGCTGGAGCCCACACCGCTGGCTCTCCTGCTTCTCAGGCTTCCAGACTGAGACTGGAACTACACCACCAGTTTTTCCACATCTCTAGCTTGCAATGATAGATGGTGGATCTTCTCAGCCTCCATATGTATATATCTATTATCTGTCTCCCATTGGTTCTGTTCCTCTGGAGAACTCTGACTCATAAAGATTTTAGGGCCAAACATGGTGGCTCACATCCGTAATCCCAGCACTTTGGGAGGCCAAGGTAGGAGAATCACTTGAGGCCAAGAGTTTGAGATCAGCTTGGGCAACATAGCTGTATACTTCCATCTCTACAAATAATTTTAAAAATTAGCCAGACACGGTGGTGCATGCCTCTAGTCCTGGCTACTCAAGAAGCTGAGGCAGGAGGATCACCTGTGCACAGTTCACAGTTGAAATGAGCTATGATCACAGCACTCCACTCCAGCCTGGCTGACAGAGGGAGACCCTGTCTCAAAAATATATATATATATGGCTGGGCACGGTGGCTCACGCCTGTAATCCCAGCACTTTGGAAGGCCGAGGAGGGCAGATCACAAGGTCAGGAGATCGAGACCATCCTGGCTAACATGGTGAAACCCTGTCTCTATTAAAAATACAAAAAATTAGCCAGGCGCGGTGGCGGGTGCCTGTAGTCCCAGCTACTTGGGAGGCTGAGGCAGGAGAATGGCCTGAACCCAGGAGGCAGAGCTTGCAGTGAGCTGAGATAGCACCACTGCACTCCAGCCTGGGCGACAGAGCAAGACTCCGCTCAAAAAAATATGTGTGTGTGTGTGTGTGTGTGTGTGTGTGTGTGTATAAAATATGTGTATATATATTATATGTATATATTTAAATATATATTATATGTATATATTTAAAGATATATATATATTTATTTTTTTGAGATGGAGTCTCGCTCTGTCGCCAGGCTGGAGTGCAGTGGCATGATCTCGGCTCACTGCAACCTCCGCCTCCTGGGTTCAAGCGATTCTCCTGCCTCAGCCTCCCGTGAGAAACAATTTTAAGAATGAGCTTTCTGAATTGGTTCTAAGATTTCTGGCATTGTCTCTCTAGTCTGATTAAATTTAAAGAGACTAACAACTCTGTTTCCAGTAAGAAAGAGAGCACTAGTCGTCCATGGCATGATCTGACAATGGAAATATGCAAAATATTCCCACTGGATACACCTAATCAACCACTTATAAGAAGCCAGGAGCTGGGTGACTATATATAAGATACTTTCTAACCTTTTTGAAAAACTAATGAATATAACAAGGTTGGCTACTTGCTCCTAGAGTCACTGGACAAAGAGGTGAAAGAAAAGAATGAGTTCAGGGATTCAAATTCCTAGTTCAAACGCGGTGTAAATAACCTAAAAGCTACTACATGTGCCCTGAAGGAGACCCTTATCTCCTGTCACCAAAGCGCTGAGATTACTGAAAATCAGGCAGAGAATCCTGTGACTGGCTGGATTACAACATGGACTGAACTTCCAGCCTCGCAGGTGTCTTTAACAGGTGTCGCTGTGAAAGTGAGGGTGTTGACTGGGGAAGAATGGGGTGGGGATGTGTAGGAAGACACGATGAAGCTGGGAACAGTGAACATCTAAGTTTTCGGGGTTTTTTGTTTTGTTTTGTTTTGTTTTGTTTTGTAAGAGACCAGGTCTTGGCCAGGCACAGTGGTTCATGCCTACAATCCCAGCACTTTGGGAGGCTACTGTGGGCAGATCACCTGAGGTCAGGAGTTTGAGACCAGCCTGGCCAATATGGTGAAACCCAATCTCTATTAAAAATCCAAAAAAAAAAAAAAAAAAAAAAGAGAGAGAGAGAGCAGGTCTTGCTCTGTCACACAGGCTGGGGTGCAGTGGTGCAATTATAGCTCACTGCAGCCTTGAACTCCTGGGCTCAAGTGACAATCCTGCCTCAACCTCCCAAGTAACTAGGACTACAGGCACACAACACTATGCCCACTAATTGTGTGTGTGTGTGTGTGTGTGTGTGTGTGTGTGGAGATGGGGGTCTCACTATGTTGCCCAGTCTAGTCTGGAACTCCTGGCCTCAAGCAATCCTTCTGCTTCAGCCTCCCAAAGTGCTGTGATTGCAGGTGTGGTGAGCCATTGCGCCCAGCCAGAGCCCCGAAATTCTTATGAGTCTTCTTTGCCATGGAAGTAGCCTCCCCACCTCCACCTGGCGAACTGACTCTGCATTGCCAGAGGAAACTGTGATGGCCTCCCTTGAGTCAGTTGCCTTTGCAAAACAATGCTGATTCTCTTCAGGATCCACCCCCACCACCCCTTTTTGCTTCTAGACTTCAAGTCTAGACTCAAGTCCCAGCAAGCCCCTCAGATGAGGTACAAAGGTTACCCGTGAGGAGGTGTGCTATACTTCAAAAGAACTTCTTAAGTTTTCTAATTTCTATAGACAGAAATCTGGGGAACATGTATGGGAATGGATATTGAGGATGTGAGATAATAGTGAAAAAAAACAAGCAGGGTGCAGTGGTTCACGCCTGTAATCCCAGCAGTTTGGGAGGCTGAGGCGGGTGGATCACCTGAAGTCAGGAGTTCAAGACCAGCCTGGCCAACATGGTGAGACTGCCATCTCTACTAAAAATACAAAATTAGCCTGGCATGGTGGTGCACACCTGTAATCCCAGCTACTCTGGAGGCTGAGCGGGAGAATCGCTTGAACCCAGGAGGTGAAGGCTGCAGTGAGCTGAGATCACGCCACTGCACTCCAGCCTGGGCAACAAGAGCAAAACTCTGTCTCAAAAAAAAAAAAAAAAAAAAGAAAAGAAAAGAAAGAAACTAAAAAAAGAAAAAGAAAAAACATAAAGTTGTATCAGAGTGAATTTATTGACATGGGCTCACTAAGCAGAGATCCTGCATTTTAATGTTGCAGCTCAGAAAATAAGAAAAGGCTCTAACAGTTTTTGGTTGGTTGGCTGATGAGTGGATCAAAGATGGCCCACTGTTGGCCAGGCACTGTGGCTCACACCTGTAATCCCAACACTTTGGGAGGCTGAGGTGGGCAGATCACCTGAGGTCAGGAGTTTGAGACCAGCCTGGCCAATATGGTGAAACCCCATCTGTACTAAAAATACAAAAAATTAGCTGGGCGTGGTGGTGGGCACCTGTAATCCCAGCTACTCAGGAGCCTGAGGCAGGAGAATCACTTGAACCCAGAAGGCAGAGGTGAAGTGAGCCAAGATCATGCTACTGCACTACAGCCTGGGCAACAAGAGTGAAACTCCGTCTCAAAAAGAAAACAAAAAGGGTGACCCACCATGAACAAACTGGAAATGGTGGATGGACATGACTTGGTTTAATGTAGAATGGATTCAAAGGCGTAGGAAGATGGGATGTTCGCGGGGATTTGTCATTTAAGACCTACTCACCAACTAAGACATAAAAGTACATCTTCTAGACCTACTGGGAAAGGCCAGAAGTCCTGCTTTTTACCAATACTGTGAGAAATAAATTTGTGATGGAGCCTCAGCACCTTGAAAGAGCTTTGTAATCCCTCGTCTCCATAGGCAGAACTTACAGCAGTCACTGAATTTGGAAACTTAAATGTAATGGGAGTCATGGATCTCAGGGCGCAGGGACCAAGTGGCAGCACTCCACTGCCACAGGCGAGGTGAACATGGTTACGGTGATGGACAGCAGAGTCACAGCAGCTGAATTGCCAACTCCTGCAGACCAATGGCACAGGCTGTTAAGCATGGCGTTCCTAGAAGTGAAATAGATGGGAAGCCTACTGATTACTTGATCCGTATAAGCAGAAAAGTTCTAAGCCAAGTTAACAAAAGTCTAATCTGAATCATAAAAACAGAGCCAGGCCTGGCACAGTAGCTCATGCAACAGGTCCAGGCTGCTGTGCAGGCTGCTCTGCTGCTTGGGCCATATGATCCAGCAGATCCAGTGGTGCGTGAAATGTCAGTGGCAGATAGGGATGCTCTCTGGAGCCTTTGGCAGGCCCCTACAAGTGAATTTCCTTAGGATTTGGGAGCAAAACTCTGCCATCCTTCACAGATTACTCTCCTTTTGAGAAACGGCTCCTGGCCTGTTACTGGGCCTTAGATAGATACTGTGTGCCTAACCATGGGCCATCAAGTTACCTGAGCTTCCCATCATGACCTGGATGTTATCTGACCCATCAAGCCATAAATTTGGGTGTGCACAGCAATACTCCATCATGAAACGGAAGTGGTATATACATGATTGGGCCTGAGAAAGCTCTGTAGGCATTGGTAAATTACATGAAGAATTGGCCCAAAAGCCCACGGTCCTCCACTCCTGCTACCCTGCCTTCTCTCTCCCAGCCTATGTCTATGGCCTCATGGGGAGTTCCCTATCATCAGTTGACAGAGGAAGAGAAGACTTGGGGCTGGTTCCCAGACGGTGCTGCAGAATATGCAGGCACCACCTGATGGTGGACAATTGCAGCACTATAGTTCCTTTCTGGGACACCTCCGAAGGACAGTGATGAAGAGGAATCCTCCCAGCAGGTAGAAATTTGAGCAGTGCATCTGGCTGTTCACTTTGCTTCAAAGGAGAAATGGTCAGACATGCAATTATATACCCATTTATAGACTATGGCCAGTGGTTTGGCTGGATGGTCAGGGACTCAGAAAGAATATGAATGGAAAAATTGGTGATAAGGAAATCTGAGAAAGAGATATATGGGTAGACCTCTCTGAATGGATAAAAAACCTGAAGACATTTGTGTCCCATGTCAATGCCCACCAAAAGGCAACCTCAACAGAGAAGGATATTAATAATCAAGTAAATAGGATGACTTGTTCTATGGATACCAATCAGCATCTGATGACCTAATGGGCTCATTATCATTGTCATTGCCTAATGGGCTCATAACGAAAGTGTCTGTGGCTGGGCGCGGTGGCTCACGCCTGTAATCCCAGCACTTTGGGAAGCCAAGGCAGGCGGATCACGAGGTCAGGAGATCGAGACCATCCTGGCTGACATGGTGAAAACCCATTTCTACTAAAAATACAAAAAAAAAAAAATTAGCCGGGCATGGTGGTGGGCGCCTGTAGTCCCAGCTACTTGGGAGGCTGAAACCAGAGAATGGCCTGAACCCAGGAGGCGGAGCTTCCAGTGAGCCGAGATTGGGCCACTGCACTCCAGCCTGGGCGACAGAGCAAGACACCGTCTCAAAAAAAAAGAAAGTGACTGTTGTGGCAGGGATGGAGGATGCATGGGCTCAGCAGTGTAGACTAACACTCACCAAGGCTGACCTGGCTACAGCCATCACTGAGTGCCCAGTTTGCCAGCAGCAGAGACCAACACTGAGTCTATGATATGGCACCATTCTCCACGGTGACCAGCCTACTATCTGGTCGCAGGTTGATTACATTGGACCACTTCCATCATGGAAGAGGCAGCATTTTGTTCTTGCTGGGATAGACACTTACTCTGGACACAGATTTACATACCCTGCTCACAAATCTTCTGCCAAAACCACCATCCGTGAACTTAAAGTATGCCTTATCCAGTGAAATTCCATACAGCATTGTTTCCAAACACTTTACAACAAAAGAAGTGTGGCAATGACTCATGATCATGTAATTCACTGGTCTTATCATGTTCCCCATCATCCTGAAGGAGCTGGCTTGATAGAACAGTTTCTATCAAGTTCTTGATGACTCAGTTTCAGCACTGAATAGTTGGCAATATTTTGCAGGGCAGGAAGGAGCCCAGCCAGTTCTCAGCTACCTGAAAATAGACCTGGGCCTACACAGCACCTGGGCCCGCCCCATGTGTGGGCCGCAGAGGCAGGTCAGCAGGGACTACCCTGACAGTTCAGAGGTGGCAAACTCTTAGTAGGGACAGTCACTCATAATCCCCACTCCTCCACCCCTAAGCAGACTGCCGGCTGCTGCATGGGCACTTTCCTGGGACACCTGATTCCAGCACTGACCATCTATTACTTGGGGCTTTACTATGTGGTGATGGCGTCCAGAGCCCTCCTGTGGGGCCAGCAGATCCTCTTCCCCCGACTTCCCCCAGGTCTGGGTCCCTGACCAGCCCCAGCTCTGGGTTCTCAAGGCCTGGGTGCTCCTGTTGCTTGGCTCCTGGTTGCTTCAGGGAGCCTCAGTGATGTACGCCCCACCGGACAGCCCTGGTGAGCAGTCAGCTACAAGAACCTGGCCTTCCTCATCATCTTCTTCTGCTGGCACCTGGGCTTGGGGATTGCCATGCTGGCTGCTGTCTATGGCCTCTGCAGCCTCTGGCACTGTCACTGCTCCTCCTGGACAGCATTCCCAGGGACCAGGTACCAGCCGTGCCTCGCACACCCCAGTGGAAGAGAACTCAAGAAACTCAGGGCAGAGGCCATGCTGCAGGATGAAAACATCTCATTTAAAGACTGTCATTCTGGCTGGGCGTAGTGGCTAACAAACACCTGTAATCCCGTTACTTTGGGAGGCCAAGGCAGGCGGATCACAAGGTCAGGAGATTGAGACCATCCTGGCTAACACAGTGAAACCCCGTCTCCACTAAAAAATACAAAAAATTAGCCAGGGGTGGTGGTGGGTGCCTGTAGTCTCAGCTACTCAGGAGGCTGAGGCAGGAGAATGGCATGAACCTGGGAGGCAGAGCTTACAGTGAGCCGAGATCACGCCACTGCACTCCAGCCTGGGCGACAGAGGGAGACTCCGTCTCAAAAAAAAAAAAAAAAAAAAAAAAAAGACTGTCATTCTGTCCCCAGCTGTGCTGTGCTACCCCTGTAAGAAGCTTTGGGAGGTTGCCACTGGGTGAGTGATCCTGTCATGTTCTGGGATCCACAGTGTGGATCCCCATCTCTGCAGCCATGTTCCTTGTCCCCAAATAAACCTGCCAGCTCCTAGGATGGTTTTTTACACTGTCCCTCTATCAGACTTTGTGTCTGCCTGGTTTATTCTGTGGCTGTGGTTTCCAGGACTCTCTGAGGGCAGCCAGGTGCCTTCTCTGGCACCTCTGAAATCCAGGAGGGGTACCAGCATGGAGAACTGGGAGGGTGTGAGCATAGATTGGGTGGCTAGTCAAGTTTCCCAGCTCTATTCCACACTGATGTCTGCTAGGAAAGGTTCCTCTTCCTTGTTGTTCTTGAAAAGCAGATTGGCTATTCCCAAAATTGAGGATAAAGCTACTTTTTTAAAGTAAGGCAATTATAGACACAAAATTTAGAAAGACACACCCCTCAGGAGAGGGGAGGAAGGGAGGCAGCAGAATAGAACATGGTGGGAACTCAGAGGAAGAGGAGGTTCTCAATAATGGCTTAGTTCTTAAAATGAGGGGTAGGTTTATGGGTATATAAATAGGTCACTAAAATAAAAGAATAAGCACTGGCCGGGCATGGTGGCTCACACCTGTAATCCCAGCACTTTGGGAAGCCAAGGTGGGTGCATCACCTGAGGTCAGGAGTTCAAGACCAGCCTGGGCAACATGGCAAAACCCCATCTCTACTAAAATTACAAAAATACAAAAATTAGCTGGGCATGGTGGCAGGTGCCTGTAGTCCCAGCTACATGGGAGGCTGAGACAGGAGAATTGCTTGAACCAAGGAGGCGGAGGTTGCAGTGAGCCGAGATCACGCCACTGCACTCCAGCGTGGGTGACAGAGCGAGACTCCGACTCGAAAAGAAAAAGAAAAAAAAAAAGAATAAGCAAGGGCCAACGAAGGGAGCGTGTCGTGAACCAAGGTCGTCATTATTCTAGCACACCGAAGGTACACCCATTTCAAACCATGTGAGCTGTGAGTAGGCACAGGGTTGGGTCGCTGGGGTGGGAAAGGCTGCAGGCGCTTGTGCCTAAGGATGTTTAACATGAGAGAGCTGGAATCCATAATAATGGTTCGCATCCACCCTTGTATGATCATCAGGATCTCAGACTTCCTCATTTTACTCTGTCCATTTCATTTTTGCTTTTATTTTTTATGTTAATTGTAGGCAAATTAACACCTTGTTTAAAAAATAAACTGGTGGGCATGGTGCCTCACACCTGTAATCCCTGCACTTTGGGAAGCTAAGGTGGGAGGGTTGCTTGAGTCCAGGAGCTTGAGACCAGCCTGGACAACATAGTGAGACCCTGTCTCTACAAAAATAAAAAATATTAGCTGAGCATGGTGGCATGCACCTGTAGTTCTAGCTACTAGGGAGGCTGGGGCAGGAGGATTGCTTGAGACCAGGAGGTCAGGGCTGCGGTGAGCCACAATCATGCCACTGCACCGTAGCTTGGGTGGCAGAGAAAGACTGTCTCTTAAAAACAAAACAAGGCTGGGCACGGTGGCTCACGCCTGTAATCCCAGCACTTTGGGAGGCCAAGGCAGATGGATCACTTGAGGTCAGGAGTTCAAGATCAGCCTGGCTAACATGGCAAAATCTTGTCGCTACTAAAAATACAAAAATTAGCCAGGTGTGCTGGCGGACGCCAGTAATCCCAGCTACTCGGGAGGCTGAGGCAGGAGAATTGCTTAAACTCAGGAGGCGGAGGTTGCAGTGAGCCGAGATTGTGCCATTGCACTCCAGCCTGGGTGACAGATGAGACTCCGTCTCAAAATAAAATAAATAAAATAAAATAAAATAAAATAAAGTAAAACAATGGCCTGGCACGGTGACTCACGCCTGTAATCCCAGCACTTTGGGAGGCCAAGGTGGGCGGATCACGAGGTCAAGAGATCGAGACCATCCTGGCCAACATGGTGAAACCCCATCTCTACTAAAAATACAAAAAAAAAAAAAAAAAAAATTAGCCAGGCGTGGTGGCAGGCACCTGTAGTCCCAGCTACTCGGGAGGCTGAGGCAGGAGAATTGCTTGAACCCGAGGGGAGGAGGTTGCAGTGAGCTGAGATTGTGCCACTGCACTACAGCCTGGTGACAGAGTGAGACTCCGTATCAAAAAAATAAAATAAAATAATAAAATAAAATTAAAATAAAAAATTAAAAACAAACAAAACTAACTTTGTCACTTCACCCCTGAGGGAAAATTGGGAGAGGGTGGCATATGGCTTTTCTACAGTCCAGCAGCAGATTCTAGGCAAGGGGAGGAGCCAAGGCCCTTAGCAGAGGCCTGAGCCTGAGCAGACAGGGCACCAGCAAGGAGTCGCCAGCAGCAGGGCTGCAGAGCACTCTCAAAAGCAGGACTGTCTAACGCTAAAATGGCTTGCCTTGGGTGACCAAAAAAATCCAACCTTATCAATAAAATCTTCACTGCATTTCAGCCTGGGCAACAGAGGAAGACCTTATCTCAAAAAATTAAAAAAATAAAGTCTGCTTCTAAACCAGCCGTGTTGCATGAGCGATTCTGGAAGAACACATAGAAAAGGCTCCTATCTGGGTTGGTGGGAGCAAAGGGAAAGAATCACCATGAAATGTGGGAGGTAAATGACCTCAGCAGTGCTGAAGATGCAGGAACTCATCAGACGGCTCCTGAGAACATCCACCCCAGAGTTCATGGATATTTTCAGAAAGCCTCTGGGCTTCTCCCAGAATGAGGAGAGAAAGTGTCCATAAACGATGATGGTAGCTGATGTATAAAATGAAATAGAGCTACAGCAAACTACGTAGAAATATGCATCCCTTGGTGCAATTGGGAGGCAGGCCACCTCTTCCACTGGCTTGAACCTGCTTGTGTGAGATGGAAAAGCACAACGTTTAGAAGTCTGGAGAAGGAAAGAGAAGGGAGGAGATGCTGGCCATCGATGTAGGGAAAGTGTCACAAAGTAAAATTCCCACTAGTGAAGCTGCTACAATTCCATGAAAGAGTCTGTGGTCAGAAATGCTGTTATCAAACAAACAAAAATAAATAAATGAACGAAGTGCTGTTATCAGAGATCAGAAAGCTTCATAATGCGTAGAAAGGTTTTCCAGCTGGGCGCGGTGGCTCATGCCTGTAATCCCAGCACTTTAGGAGGCCGAGGGGGGCGGATCACAAGATCAAGAGATCAAGACCAGCCTGGCCAACATGGTGAAACCCCGTCTCCACTAAAAATACAAAAATTGGTTGGGCGCGGTGGCTCACGCCTGTAATCCCAGCACTTTGGGAGGCCGAGGCGGGTGGATCATGAGGTCAGGAGATCAAGACCATCCTGGCTAACATAGTGAAACCCCATCTCTACTAAAAATACAAAAAATTAGCCGGGCGTGGTGGTGGGCACCTGTGGTCCCAGCTACTAGGAAGGCTGAGGCAGGAGAATGGCGTGAACCTGGGAGGCGGAGGTTGCAGTGAGCCTAGATTGCGCCACTGCACTCCAGCCTGGGTGACAGAGCAAGACTCCATCTCAAAAAAAAAAAAAAAAAAAATTAGCTCGGCGTGGTGGCATGCACCTATAGTTCCAGCTACTTGGGAGGCTGAGACAGGAGAATCACTTGAACCCAGGAGGCAGAGGTTGCAGTGAGCTGAGATCTCGCCACTGCACTCCAGCCTGGCAACAGAGTGAGACTCTGTCTCAGAAAAAAAAAAAAAAAAAAAAAAGAGAGAGATGTTTTCCAGGATGGTAGACAAGGTGATCTGTAATTTGAAGATAGCTCTGAATATCACCTAAATAAGTAATGTTCCTGAGCAGGAAAAACAGGCCCTTCAAGCTGGGTAGCAAGCAGGTAAGAGAAGGGGAATGTGGAAAGGAACGGGGAGCAGGCAGAGGCCTGGTGTACCCATCCTGGAGAGGCAGGCTCCAGATGCTGGAGGGCAAAAGATGCCTCGTTCTCCTCTAGCAGCGTCGCAGCTGGATCCAGACCAGTTCCAGTTTGTCCTCCCAGAAGAGCAGGGGTCCATCTGGGGACAGGCCCAGCCCCTCTCCTTCTGACATGTCCCCCAGGTGGCTCTGGAGGTCTAAATCAGACAAGCTTTCAGGAACCCTATTGGCAAACACATCCCTGCACCTGCTGACCAAAGACCAAAAGGTGAACAGACAGGGCAAGAGGGAGAGACAGCACATGGGTTTCCCAGCCAGTCTTCTGGAAAGGCAGATTTACACAGGTCTATCCTGTTGACCATCGATGGCCCTGTGGGCAAAGAGTGGTGCATAGAGAGGAATCTTTTTTCCACACATCTATGCTTTCAACCAGCTCAGCAGGAATGTGCCCACACAGACATGTGACTCACACCAGCAGGTTTCTCATGTATTTTTGAGACTTAAAATAATGCTAACTTCAGACCAGGCGTGGTGGCTCGCGCTTTTAATCCCAGCACTTTGAGAGGCCGAGGTGGGTGGATCGTCTGACGTCCGGAGTTTGAAACCAGCCTGGCCAACATGGTGAAACTCCGTCTCTACTAAAAATACAAAAATTAGCTGGGCGTGGTGGCACAGGCCTGTAATCACAACTACCCAGGAAGCAAAGGCTTGAACCAGGAGGTGGAGGTTGCAGTGAGCCAAGATCGCGCCACTGCACTCCAGCCTGGGTGACAGAGTGAGACTGCATCTCAAAAAAAATAAATAAATAAAAATAAATGCTAACTTCAATAGAAAAGAACTTCATTCTCAAATGTTAGAATTGAGAGTTTGCTTCATTGTGCTATTTTCATGGAGGAAAAAAATAATATTTATTCATTTTTTTCTGATCATGAAAGCAATGAAAGTTTATTGGATAAACAGCTGGAAACTCAGAAATATAGTAACTATAACACTAAAGGACGGGCGCAGTGGCTCATGCCTGTAATCCCAGCTCTTTGGGAGGCCAAGGTGGATGGATCACTTGAGGCCAGGAGTTCGAGACCAGCCTGGCCAACATGATGAAGCACCGTCTCTACCAAAAATACAAAAATTAGCTGGGCGTGGTGGTGGGTGCCTGTGGTTCTAGTTACTTGGGAGGCTGAGGCACGAGAATTGCTTGAACGTGGGAGGTGGAAGTTGCAGTGAGCCAAGATCGTGTCACTGCACTCTAGCCTGGGCAACAGAGTGAGACCCTGTCTCAAAATAAATAAATAAGAAGAACACTGAAATTGCTCACAAGCTGGCTATTCCTTCATTCAAATGTGTAGAGAGCTCCTTCTCACTGGCAGGTCTACTCTGGGCTATGGCGGTGAACTCTACTCTGGTGAACACAACCAGAAAGGCCTTTGTTCCTGTGCTGCTGACATGCCAGTGGGGGAAGCAGACAAGAGGCGATTCCATGGGCATAAAGTATGTCAGGTCGTCACAACGCCATGAAGAAGAATACACAGGGCAAGAGGGACAGACACACTACTTGAGCTGGGCGTTCCCTATTTGGAGGGTCAGGTGAGATTCCAGAAAGAAGCAGAGTTAAATTTTGGATGTTTTTCCTTCCAAGCTTTCAATTAAATATTAACGTTCTTATTATCAGTCACAAATTTTTAGATGAAACTTCTTTAAAAAAAAAGTCTTTCTTAGAAAAGCAACACCTTTAGCCAGGCATGATGGCACATACCTGTAGTTCCAGCTACTCGGGAGGCTGAGGTGGGAGGATCGCTTGAGCCTGGGAGGTTGAGGCTGCAATGAGCTATGGGCACCACTGCACTAGACAACAAAAGCAAGACTCTGTCTCAAAAAAAAAAAAAAAAGAAAAATAAAGAAAAGTAATACTTGTTCATTGTAGAAGACCTGGAAGTGGTAGAAAATCTGGAAGGGAAAGGGAGAGAGAAGATAAATCTCCCACAATGGCACCAGCATAGGATAATCCCTCCAGATGTGTTGGTACATCTCCCTCCTCGTACCTTTCTCGATTGCTAAACTCACACGGTATTTACACGACTGAATCCTGCTTTTCTTAACCCCTATCATAAGCATTACCCCATGTTTGTCAGAGTTTTGAAAGACAAAGTACAAGAGGCCACTGTTTCCCTTCCGCGTGGGAAAAGGCCTTCACAGAAGCCCAGGCACCATGCTCCCCTGTCTGGCTGCCTGGGTGCCGCCCTGTCTGGGAAGACCCTGGGCCTTCATTCAACCTGTCATTGAGAGAGCTTCAGACAAGTGATAAGTCCCAGATCCCCAGAAGTGAAACCCCAGGCAGAGGGACCACTTTGTGTCAGACCCAAAGGGAGATGAGGTTGCAGCAGAGCCAATGGAGTATTTGTTTCAGAAGTAGAGGCGAGGGAGGGTACACACCCCCAGGAGAGTCAGGTAAGAACCAAAGAGGAAGAAGAAATAGGTAGCAGGAATGCATGTTTCGAGAGTCAGAGTTGACAGCCCCTCTATCTCAGAGTCTGAGGCAGCCCCAGACTTCCCCCTCAAACTCCTACAGCAGAGATGCCATTGTCTCCGGGAGCCTGCAAGGGCCCTGCTTCCTGTCTCCGGAAGCAAAAGCAAACTGGTGTCCTTTCCACCCTCACCTGCAGCCTCTCTGCCCTCAGCCATTTCCCCCTGGGTCTGGGCCTCCTCCTTTTTGCTTCCTATCCTTATTGGAGCATCATTCTGGACCTATAACCACGTACACTCACTCCCAACCCTACCAATCAGGTCATTAGAGAGTTTGTTTTATTTTATTTTATTTTTTGAGATGGAGTTTCACTCTCGTTGCCCAGGCTGGAGAGCAATGGTGCGATCTCAACTCACTGCAACCTCTGCCTCCCGGGTTCAAGCAATTCTCTTGCCTCAGCCTCCTGAGTAGCTGGGATTACAGGCACACACCACTATGCTTGGCTAATTTTTGTATTTTTAGTAGAGACAGGGTTTCACCATATTGGTCAGGCTGGTCTCGAACCCCTGACCTCAGATGATCCACCCGCCTCGGCCTCCCAAAGTGCTGGGATTACAGGCATGAGCCAGCCAAGAGTTTTACAAGCAAAATATTTCTCTTCAAAAATCTTCCAGCATGTCTACTGTATTTAAGACTATACCAAACCCTATGAAGGGTTTGGTTCTCTATGAAAGCCAGATCCTGTTGGCCAAAGGTGTCAGGGGCTTCCTCACAATCTGCACTCATATCTTGCACGTTTCACCAAGATCCAAATGGTCTGGTACTTGGAGCAATCTTTGTTCATGCACCTACAAAGTCTTGCTACTTTCTACCTGTGTGTCAGTAAGCAAATTACTTGCCCTTTCTGAGCACCTGGTTTTCTTACCTGAAAAAAAAAAGGTGGGGGAATAATAATTTGCACCTCTTAGGGTTGTGTAAGGATCAAGAGGCGCACTGCCTGTGAAGTGCCAGCATATAGTCAGTGCTCAACAAACAGGGGACATGGTCATCCATACTGTCTTATGACCAAGAAACTTCTGGGTTGGCCAACATAAGATTTTTTTGCCTGCCTTGAAAACTTTTCCACCCAAGACAAAGGTCACGTACTCAGATGCCTTCAGGCCGGTCAGGTAAGATAAATAAGAGAAGAGGGTGTGGTAGAAATTAGGCAAACTGGAGAGGAGCCCAGGCTGCTTGATCTCTGGCAGGAATGCAAGGCTCGAGTTCAGATCTTCTGATTTTTCTCCTCTAAGGAAAGCCATAAATCTGGATTTTTTGTGTGTGTAAAATGACTGGATCTTTTAAAATGTGGCAGTAAGTCCTTTTGCTAAAAAACAGATGCAGACAAAACCAATGTGTAGAGCTTTGCAGGGAATGGCAGGTTGGTGTGCTGAAAGATGCCTCGTTATAAAATGATGTTTACATGGAGAGTAGTGGGGGTCTGCATGAGGGGAGGACAGGGGTGTGGGGCACAAAATGGGGGTGGGCTTTGGAGTTTGTATCTTGTGTGTGGCCTCAGGAGTGGGTGACTGAAGTGAGTCAATCCCCCAGAGATGAGGGGCCTCAAGAACAGGGAAGCCAGCATGGGGCTTTCTCAACAAGGACATGGGAAGTGCCCTGAGCTGCCAGGGAAAACCGTGGAATTCATGCCAAAATCTTTAGTGGGCAAGCGAGGTGACCCAGCGACAGATACGGGAGGACCGGAAGGTAGGAGACTGGGGAGCACAAGCTTCAAAGGGAAAGCAGGGGTTACGATGCTACCTCAGAGAGGGGCTTTGCAATCTGCATGGAATGATTGTGCAAAAGGCTTACCACCAGCCTGGCGCACACAGATGCTCAACAAATATCAATTCAAGTAATTTATTGATTTTCACAATAAATACTTCCTGGGGGTATACTATGTGCCAGATACTAGGGGCGAGCAAGATCCCAGGGTTCCTTCATTGAGGGAACAGAGAGGGCAGTGGAGAAGCCAGGTGAGTTAACGAGCACTTGCAGGACAGTGTGGTAAGGACGATGGGCCATACACAGAGCCAGGGGACGGAGAGAGCCTCCTGGAACCCAACGAGCAAATAGGACAAGCATGTGAAAACGGAGTTGGACTACTGTCCCGACAGGGGAAAGGTTCTGGAAGCTGGAGGCTGTGAATCAGCAGAGCAATGGAGGAGCTGAAAAAAATGCGGCAGAGCTGTCTCCCAGCTGACAGGGGTAGCACGCAGGAGCTTCCCAGGAGTGAGGTTTCTCCCAGGACCTAGGAGATTCCATAGGAGGGTTTAAGTAGAAAAATGCCCCTTAACCAGCATTTATATCACCCAACTGTGTGCCAAGCACTCTGCAAATGACTATAAAATTATAGGCACACTTAATTCATGTAATCCTTCTTCTCCCCCTCCCCCTCCCCCTCCCCCTCCCCCTGCCCCTCCCCTCCCCCTCCCCCTCCCCCTCCCCCCTTCTCCTTCTCCTTCTCCTTCTCCTTCTCCTTCTCCTTCTTCTTCTTCTTCTTCTTCTTCTTTTTGAGATGGAGTCTTGCTCTGTTGCCCAGGCTGGAGTGCAGTGGCATGATCTCGGCTCACTGCAAACTCTGCCTCCTGGATTCAAGCAATTCTCCTGCCTCAGCCTCCCGAGTAGCTAGGACTACAGGCGTGTGCCATCACACCCAGCTAATTTTTGTATTTTTAATAGAGACAGGGTTTCACCAAGTTGGCCAAGCTGGTCTCAAACTCCTGACCTCAGGTGATCCACCTGCCTCAGCCTCCCAAAACACTGGGATTACAGGCATGAGCCACCACGCCTGACCAAATTTATGTAATCTTTCTACCAGCCTTATGAAGTAGGTCCACTATCTGCTAACATCAATTTCCACAATCCAAAACTCTCCCAACCTAAAGATTTTCATAACTTATTTGGCAGCAAAATTTGAGCTGAACTGACATCTTTATTGATGTGAACTGACATTCTGTCTTTATTTATCCTCATGTAATGTGAATATTTGTATGTTTCACTGCAGAAATGCCATGTCTGATTGCAGGGTATTGCCCCAGATCTCACTAGGAGTGTTAAAAAATACAAGACACAGGCAAAGTACTGCCTTTTATAAAATGCAGAATTTCTGAATTCTGAAACATATGTGATCCCAAGGGTTTTGGATAAAAGATTGTATAAAACCTGTTAATATTCTCATTTTACAGATGAGGAAGCTGAAGGATAAGTAATTTCCCCAAGGTCATATAGGTAGTAAGTAAGAAAGCCACAATATGAACCCAGGTAGTTTGGCCCTGGAGTCCATGCTGCATTGCATGTAAGCTATTCTCCACTTCAGAAAGATGTCTATCGTTGCCATTAAGACAATAGATGGAGGAAAAGGAATAAAGAAGAAAGCCATGGCAGTCAACCAGACATAGGGTAATGGTAGGGATGGAAGGGAATAGAGAGTTAAGAGATGTTTAAAGGAAAATCGACCGAACCTGGTGGTTGTAAGCTGGCTGAGAGAGGTTGAGCATCGTGGGCAGATAAGTAAAGGACACATGGGGTTCTGGGTTCAGCCCTGGGGAGGCTGGATGGTGGGTCACTCAGTGATGTGGGGAAGAGAAGAGGGAGGGGAGGGAGAAGAAGATCGTGAATTCTGTATTCCATGCCACATGTTTAAGTTGGGATGTCAACTAGGTAGGTGGATATACATGGCTGGTGCTTGAGAAAGAGGGCTGGGATCAAGATAAAGAGTCGGGAATTGCTAGATGCAGGTGGTCATTAAGACATGAGCATGGACTGAGTGATGACACAAAGGTCTAAGTTAGAACGTGAAAGAACCCCAACCCTGAAGGGTAGGGAAGTAGAGAGGAAGAGAATGCCAGAGGCTGGGTGTAGTGGCTCACACCTATAATCCCAGCACATTGGAAGGCCAAGATGGGAGGATCACCTGAGGTCAGGAGTTCGAGACCAGTCTGGCCAACATGGCAAAACCCTGTCTCTACTAAAAATTAAAAAAAATTATCTGGGCGTGGTGGCCCATGCCTGTAGTCCCAGCTAATCAGGAGGCTGAAGCAGGAGAATCGTTTGAACCCAAGAGGTGAAGGTTGCAGTGAGCTGAGATTGCACCACTGCACTCCAGCCTGGGCCACAGAGCGAGACTCTGTCTAGAAAAAAAAAAGAAGAGAATGCAAGAGACTGGAAAGAGACTGCTTCAAGAAGGGAAAAGTCCTCAGTGCTGGTGCTCCCTCCCTCCTGCCCTCTCCTCCACGAGACAGGCGAGCCCAGGAACTATGGATGGGAGCTCATTCCAGGGACTGGTAAGAACTGGTCCTAGCATTTCCCAGTGCCATAGAGCCCAGGAACCAGCTCTGCCTGGTGCCCATCAGCAACGTAACCACCTCTGGGCTCCAGTTTCTACATCTAGCAACTGGAATAATAACGTCCATCTCATAGGCTTGTTGTGAGTATTAAATATACAAACAGAGAAGTCAGCATCCTCCCTGGATTTGTGGTGAGAGCTCAAAAGGTTGCTCTAATTATCATTTTTTTTATTATGTACGAGGTGGTGAAGAGTGGGTGGTGAGGGCATTTCAGGCAGAAAGAACACCATTAGCAAAGGTGTGGCAAGACAGCGCGTGTTCAGAGAAGAGACCTGTTGGGTGGAGGATGTGTGGGTGGAATTGTGGGGCCTGGGAGCAGGACGGATAATGAGGCTCAGCAACCTCTCCTGCTCCGTTCCGTGTGTCACATGTTGTGGGGTCTGCATCACCTAATCAGGCGTTTTCTTTAGAAATGCCCACCACACCTTTGCTCCTCACCAGCCCTCACCTGCTACAGTGTGGAACTGTCTCTAATCACCTCCCACTGCTGCGGGAAGCACAGGTCCTCGTCACCACCTGCCTGCACAGAACAAGCCTCCTAATGGATCTTCCTGTGCCGTCTTTCCTCCAGCACAGGCCCCAGGGCCATCTCTATGGAACATCAATATGGATAGGCTGCCTCCTGCTCACAGCCCTTCCGCGTGGCCCATCGCCTTGGAACAGAGTGCATTTCCACAGCTCTCACAGGCTTCCTTTCCCATCTTTCTCACCCTTTCTTTCCCTCCACAAACTCACACACTGCTCTAGAGTCTAGACGACAAAGCCAACTGCCTTTACCAAGTGTACCACAGACTTGTTTCTGGGCCTTTGCACATGCCAGCCCAACCCCTATCTTTCTTACCCTAGACCTAGTCCACTCCCGTCTCAGTGCCATCTGGCCCCAGGACAAACCTTGATGCCAGAACATTCCACATGGTATTGTACCATTTGCTCCAGAGGTGTCTCAGTGCCCCAGTGCTAAGCCATGAGCCCCTTGCCTGGCTCTTAATAGAGGCTCAGCAGCAATGTGTGGAGGGACTGAGATTACAGAGAAAGGGCCAGAGCATGGGGAGCCTTAAAGGATATGCTAGGGGCTTAGTTTATGGGGAAACCACGGAAGATGTGGGGGCAATGAACTGGCAAACTGAGGTGTTTTAGGGACATGATCATGGGGGGAAGGAGAGTGGAGGGGATGTGCTCAGGATGGTGGGACTTCTCCACCTCCAGAGGAAAAAGAGAGGCCAGAGAACAGCAGATACCTGCTAGATCAGATTGCGGTGACTGGAGAGAAGGATTGATCTCCACCACCCTTAACAACGACCAACTGAGGATATTTGCTCCTGTACTGCAAGATCAGAGCCAAGCCCTGCAGGTGGTAGGGGTGGGATGGGGGAGTCAATTCAACGGAGGGATGTTTCCAAGGGTCTTCCAGAATCTGCTCCTGGCTCTGTTATGCCTTCAAGCCCCCTCCACTTTGCCTGCCCTCTCTCACTACCGTCATCGGAGGGTGCCTACTGCCTTCCTTTGCTTTCTCCCACTCACTCATTAGCTCATCTCCATCTGGCTTTGGCCTCACCCCTCCAGTGAGGCAGCTCTCACAGGTCACCAGCAGCCTCGGATGTTGTCCTTGTGACCTTTCCTCAGGACTGACAGATCACCTCTCTGTAGTCTTTATCCTTCCTCTCTCCTCTTCCCCTCTCTGAGACTCCTGTTACCTCTCCAATCACCCCTTGCCACTGATTTCTCATTGTATCCCAACCCCTTAAGAACAGGTAATTTCCTAAATTCTGCCCTTGGCTGGTTTTTCCTCTCTCTGTGCACACATTCTCTGAATATCTTTTGTCCTACCATGCTTCAAGTTTTCATTTATTATTCAAATGAGTCCCAAATCTATGTATCTAGACGTAAGCTTTCTCTCCAAGCCTGAGATTCACAGATGGTGGACTATAAATGAGATACATCCTTTTTTTTTTTTTTTTTTTTTAGACCAAGTCTTGCTCTGTTGCCCAGGCTGGAATGCAGTGGCACGATCTTGGCTCACTGAAACCTCTGCCTCCTGTGTTCAAGCGATTCTCCTGCCTCAGCCTCCTGAGTAGCTGGGATTACAGGTGCCCGCCACCATGCTCGGCTAATTTTTATATTTTTAGTAGAGACAGGCTTTCACCATGTTGGCCAGGCCAGTCTCAAACTCCTGACCTCAAGTGATCCACCCGCCTTGGCCTCCCAAAGTGCTGGGAATATAGGCATGAGCCATCGCGCCTGGCCTAAATAAGATATATTCCTAACAAATGAAAGAAAAGACTTTTTTAAAGCTATAACTCAAAATCATGAAGTGGTCTCTTGATGGACCAAAAACGGTGGAGAATTCCTAAAGATGAAATGCTGGTGAAATGATGATAGGATCTGACTGAAGAAAGAAAACTTAGTTTAAAATGTGGATGGGAGAGCACCATGACCAAGGAGGAAGGGCCTGGGAGCTGGAGGGATCTGGGGCAACCCAAAGGGAGAAACCATCAAGAGGAACTGCCACGTGTTTGGCCTCCATAAACCAATACCTGCTCACATATTCACAAATGCCCAGCCAGCCAGAGGCAACTGGGTTCCCACCAGGTAGGGCAATGGCTGTCAGCTTGGGTCAGAGAGACAAAGCAGTGCTCCATGCAAACCAGAAACTGGAGCACTCATATCCACAAGACCAGCCTGTGCCATACCCTGTTCCCAACTGCCCACCCTCCCTTTTCTCCAATCCCACTTCCATCCCACTCCTTCCCAAAGCAAGCAGCACAGACATCAGAGAGCCTAACAGAGTCTCTCAATTAAAACAATGAGCACATCAACAATCAGCAAGTATTTGTGTAAGGCCAACACTATGAAAGAAATAGAACCATTAAAAAAAAAAAAAAAGAACTTACAAAGGCCAAGTGTAATCATAGCAAAACTTAATGCAATTCAAATATTCAGAAGAGTCTGGGTGCAGTGGCTCACACCTGTAATCCCAGCACTTTGGGAGGCCAAGGTGGGTGGATCATCTGAGGTTAGGAGTTCGAGACCAGCCTGGCCAACATGGCAAAACCTTGTCTCTACTAAAAATATAAAAATTATCTGGGTGTGGTGGCACACACCTGTAATCCCAGCAACTCATGAGGCTGAGGAAGGAGAATCACTTGAACCTGGGAGGTGGAGGTTGCAGTGAGCCAAGATTGCACCACTGCACTACAGCCTGCACGATAGAAGCAAGACTCCATCTCCAAAAAAAATAAAAAAATAAAAAAGCAAATACTTGGAAGAATAAGGGAAGGTCTAATAGCCAAGACATAAAAACAAATTTAGGCAAGCTGTGATTTAAAAAAAAAAGTCAATAAGGCATCTCAAAAATTTTGTAATGGAAATAAAAAATTAAGCAGATGAGCTGACAACAAAATAATCACAATTTGTAAGAATTACTGAGCTAGGAAGTGAGTAGGATGATATATTCAAAGCACTGAAAGAAAAAACTGCCAACCAAGACTACTATACCTGACAAAACTGTCCTACAAAAATGAAAGAGAAATAAAGACTACCAGACAAATAAAAGCTGAGAGAGTTCATCACTAGACCTGCCTTACAAGAAATACTAAAGGAAGTTCTTCAAGTTGAAATGAAAGTATGCTAAATAGCCACACAATATTAAAAGAAAGTGTGAAACTCACTAGTAAAGGTAAATGTATAGACAAATATAGAATACTGTAATACTGTAATGGTGATGGAGAAATCACTTTTAATTCTCCTATACAAGTTAAAAGAAAAAAGATGGAAAATAACTATAACTGGCCAGGCATGGTGGCTCATGCCTACAATCCCAACACTTTGGGAGGCCAAGGCGGGCAGATCACTTGAGGTCAGAAGTTCGAAACCAGCCTGGCCAACATGTTGAAACCCCACCTCCACTAAAAGGATAAAAAATTAGCCAAGCATGGTGGCACATGCCTGTAATCCCAGCTACTGGGAAGGCCAAGGCAGGAGAATCGCTTGAACCCCAGAGACAGAGGTTGCAGTGAGCTGAGATCACACCACTGTACTCCAGCCTGGACCACAGAGCAAGACTCTGTCAAAAAAAAAAAAAAAAAAAAGAAGAAGAAGAAAGAAAAGAAAAGAACTATAACCAAAAATATATTAAAATATACTCTTAATCCATTTACTGTTGCTATAACTGAATACCTGAGACAGGGTAATCTATAAATGAAAGAAGTTTATTGTTTAAAGTTCTAGAGTTGGGGAAGTCCAAGGTCAAGGGACCACATCTGGTGGAGGCCTTCTTGCTGGTGGGGACACCCTGCATAATCCCAAGACAGTACAGGACATCACATGGTGAGGGGGCTGAGAGCGCTAGCTCAGGTCTCTCTTCCTCTGCTTATAAAGCCACCAGTTCCACTTCTGTGATAATCTATTTACCCATTAATCCATTAATCCAATAATGGATTAATCCACTCATGAGGGTAGGGCCTTCATGATCCAATCACCTCTTAAAGGCCCCACCTCTCAATACTGCCACACTGGGGATTAGGTTTCAACATGAGTTTCTGATGGCACAAATATTCAAGTCTTGGCATATGCACAGAATTAAGAGATATAAATTATGACAATAATATAAAGTGTGATGGGGGTAGAAGTTAAAGTGTAAAGCTTTTGTACATGATTAAACTTAAATTATCAGCTTAAAATAAACTGTCATAACTATAAAATATTTTACCTAAGCCCCAAGGTAACTACAAAATAAATACCTATAGAAGTTACACAAGGGCCAGGCATAGTGGCTCACCCCTGTAATCCTAGCACTTTGGGAGGCCGAGGCAGGTGGATCACCTGAGGTCAGGAGTTTGAGACCAGCCTGGCCAACATGGTAAACCCCCACCTCTACTAAAAATACAAAAATTAGCTGGGCATGGTGGCGCATGCCTGTAATCCCAGCTACTTAGAAGGCTGAGGCAGGAGAATCACTTGAACCCAGAGGGCAGAGGTTGCAGTGAGCCGAGATTGCCCCACTTCACTCCAGCCTGGGTGACACAGCGAGACTCCGTCTTCAAAAAAAAAAAGAAGAAGTTACACACACACACACATACACACACACAAAAGGAATCAAAGCATAGCAATACAAAAAAATAAAACACAAGGGAAGACAGCAAGGGGGAAAAGACAGAAAAAAACCCCACGAGGCTATCAGAAAACAACTAACAAAATGGCAATAGTAAATCCTTTTCTATCAATAATTACTTTAACTGTAAATGTCGGTATGTATCACTATACCCTCTTAGGACTGCTTTTGTTGCATCTCATAAGTTTCACAACTCAACTGACTGGGAAAAAAATGACAACCTAAGCCCAAAGTTAGCAGAAAGAAAGAAATACCAAAGATTAGGGCACAGATAAGATTGAAAAAAGAAAAACAATAGAAAAAAATCGGCCGGGCACGGTGGCTCACACCTGTAATCCCAGCACTTTAGGAGGCTGAGGTGGGCTGATCACCTGTGGTCAGCGGTTCAAGATCAGCCTGACCAACATGGCGAAATCCTATCTCTACTAAAAATACAAAATTAGCCGGGTGTGGTGGCGCATGCCTGTAATCCCAGCTACTTCGGAGGCTGAGGCAGGAGAATCACTTGAACCTGGGAGGCAAATGTTGCAGCGAGCCGAGATCGTGCCATTGCACCCCAGCCTGGGCAACAAAGCAAGACTCCGTCTCAAAAAAAAAAAAAAAAAAAAAAAAGGAAAGAAAAGAAAAAAATGAACAAAACTAAGAATTAGCTTTTTGAAAAGATAAAGAAAATTGACAAATCTTTGGCTAGACTAACTCAGAAAAAAAGATAAAACAGTTAAGTGAGATCAGAAAAGAAAGAGGAAACTGTAAAATTCCTAGAAGAAAACACTGAGGAAAATCTTTGTGACATGGATCTTTGCAATGATTTCACAGATATGACACCAAAATCACAGACAACAAAAGCAAATATAAAAAGTGGGACTACATCAAACTAAAAAGCTTCTGCATGGCAAAGAAAAGAATCAAGAATGAAAGGCAACCTATGAAATGAGAGGAAATATTTTCAAACCATATGACTGGTGAGGGGTTAATCTCTAAAAAGTATAAGGAGCCAGGCACGGTGGCTCACGCCTGTAATCCCAACACTTTGGGAGGCCGAGGCAGGAGGATCACCTGAGGTCAGGAGTTCCAGACCAGCCTGGCTAACATGGTGAAACCTCATCTCTACCAAAAATACAACATTAGCCAGGTGTGATGGTGCATACCTGTAATCCCAGCTACCAGGGAGTCTGAGGCAGGAGAATCATATGAACCCAGGAGACAGAGGTTGTAGTGAGCTGAGATTCCAGCCTGGGTGACAAGAGCGAAACTCTGTCTCAAAAATAAAATATAATAAAATAAAAAATATAGGGAACTTCTACAACTCAATAGTTTAGAAAAAACTAATAACCTGATTTTAAAATGGGCTAATGATTTGAATAGACATTTCTACGAAGAAGACATATAAATGGCCAACAAGTATATGAAAAAATGTTCAATCCCTAATTGAGCACTAATCATCACTAATCATCTGGGAAAGGCAAATCAAAACAGCAATAAGCTATCACCTCACACCTATGAGGATGGCTATTACCAAAAACATAAAAGACAAGTGTTGGCCGGGTGTGATGGCTCATGCCTGTAATCCCAGCACTTTGGGAGGCCAAGGTGGGCGGATCATGAGGTCAGGAGATCGAAACCATCCTGACGAACACAGTGAAACCCCGTCTCTACTAAAAATACAAAAAATTAGCTGGGCATGGTGGCGGGCGCTTGTAGTCCCAGCTCGGGAGGCTGAGGCAGGAGAATGGTGTGAACCTGGGAGGCGGAGCTTGCAGTGAGCTGAGATCATGCTACTGCACTCCAGCCTGGGTGACAGAGCGAGACTCTGTCTCAAAATAAAATAAAATAAAATAAAAAGACAAGTGTTAGTAAGGTTGTAGAAAAATCAGAACTCTTGCACACAGTTGATGGTAATGCAAAATGTTGCAGGTGCAGCCACTGTGAAAAACA
The DNA here is from genome assembly GCF_000001405.40 of Homo sapiens. Classification (NCBI taxonomy): domain Eukaryota; kingdom Metazoa; phylum Chordata; class Mammalia; order Primates; family Hominidae; genus Homo; species Homo sapiens. Next base: position 103,229 of record NT_187538.1, read on the forward strand.
GTATGGAGGTTTCTCAAAATATTAGAACTAGAACCGCCATATAATCCAGCATCCTACTTCTGGATATTTACCCAGAGGAATTGAGATCGGGATCTTAAAGAGATATTAGCACTCTTACGTTCACTGCAGCACTATTCACAATAGGCAAGATGTAGAAACAACCTTAATGTCTATTGACAGATGAATATATGAGGAGAATGTGGTATATACATATAGTGAAATACTATTAAACCTTTAAAAAGAAGGACATTCTGGCCGGGCACAGTGGCTCACGCCTGTAATCCCAACACTTTGGGAGGCCGAGGCAGGTGGATCATGAGGTCAGGAGTTCGAGACCAGCCTGGACAATATGGTGAAACCCCATCTCTACTAAAAATACAAAAATTAGCCAGGCGTGGTGGCGCATGCCTGTAGTCCAAGCTACTCAGGAGGCTGAGGCAGAAGAATCACTTGAACCTGGAGGCGGAGGTTGCAGTGAGCCGAGATCACACCACTGCACTCCAGCCTGGGTGACAGAGTGAGACTCCATCTCAAAAAAAAAAAAAAAAAAAAAAAAAAAGGACATTCTTCAATATGTGACAAAATGGATAAAGCTTGAGGACATTAGGCTAAGTGAAAAAAAATCCTGTCACAGGACAAACTGCATGATTCCACTTATATGAGATGTCTAAAATGGTGAAATTTATGGAATCTAAGAGTGGAATGGCAGTTACCAGGGACTGGGGACTTACTAACCAGTAGGCATCAGGGTTCAGTCAAGCGAGATGAATAAGCTCTAGAGATCTGCTGTGCAACATCGAATCTCTAGTCAACAGTTAGGTACTGCACACTTAGAAATTAGTTAAGGGGAGAGATCTAATATTAAGTCTTCTATGACAAATTTTTTCTTTTTTTAAAAAGAAGGAGGTTAGAAAACAAATTTTTTTTAAACAAATGGAGGTGGAGGTTAGACGGCCAGCGTGGTGGCTCACGTCTGTAATCCCAACACTTTGGGAGGCTGAAGCGGGTGGATCACCTGAGGTTGGGAGTTCAAGACCAGCCTGACCAATATGGAGAAACCCCGTCTCTACTAAATATACAAAATTAGCTGGGCATGATGGTGGGTGCCTGTAATCCCAGCTACTCGGGAGGCTGAGGCAGGAGAATCGCTTGAACTGGGGAGGCGGAGGTTGCAGTGAGCCGAGATCATGCCATCGCACTCCAGCCTGGATGACAAGAGCAAAAACTCCATCTCAAAAAAAAAAAATGTAGGTGAAGGATATGAACAGACACGTCTCAAAAGAAGACATTTATGCGGCCAACAAACATATGAAAAAAAGCTCATCATCACTGGTCATTAGAGAAATGCAAATCAAAACCACAATGAGATACCTTCTCATGCCAGTTAGAATGGCGATCATTAAAAAGTCTGGAAGCAACAGATGCTGGTGAGGATGTGAAGTAATAGGAAGGCTTTTACACTGTTGGTGGGAGTGTAAATTAGTTCAATCACTGTGGAAGACAGTGTGGAAATACCTCAAGGATCTAGAACCAGAAATACCATTTGACCCAGCAATCCCATTACTGGGTATATACCCAAAGGAATATGAATCATTCTACTATAAAGACACATGCACACATACTTTTTTGCAGCATTATTTACAATAGCAAAGACTTGGAACCAACCCAAATGCCCATCAATGATAGACTGGATAAAGAAAATGTGGTACATATACACCATGGAATACTATGCAGCCATAAAAAAGAATGAGCTCATGTCCTTTGCAGGGACCTGGATGAAGCTGTAAACCATCATCTTCAGCAAACTAACGCAGGAACAGAAAACCAAACACCACATTTTCTCACTCATAAGTGGGAGTTGAACAATGAGAACACATGGACACAGGGAGGGGAACATCACACACCACGGCCTGTTGGTGGGTGGGGGGAAAGGGGAGGGAGAGCATTAGGACAAATATCTAATGCATGTGGGGCTTAAAACCTAGATGATGGGTTGATAGGTGCAGCAAACCACCATGGCACATGTATACCTATGTAACAAACCTGCATGTTCTGCACATGTATCCCAGAACTTAAAGTAAAATTTAAAAAAAAAATGACCATATCATTTTGCATACCCTTGAGCAGTATTTCAGAGTTCCTGTGACCATTTCTTTGTATTGTTCATTTTTTAAATTATTATCTTGGACATTCTAATAAGCATATAGCTATGTGTGTGTGTGTGTGTGTGTGTGTGTGTGTGTGTGTATGTGTGTGTGTGTATATATGAGGTAGACCATTTCTTTCTTTTTTTTGAGATGGAGTCTCACTCTGTCACCCAGGCTGGAGTGCAGTGGTGCAATCTCGGCTTTCTACAACCTCTGCCTCCCAGGTTCAAGTGATTCTCCTGCCTCAGCCTCCTCAGTAGCTGGGATTACAGGCATGAGCCACAACACCTGGCTAATTTTTGTATTTTTAGTAGAGACAGGGTTTCACCATATCGGTCAGGATGGTCTCAAACTCCTGACCTTGTGATCTGCCCCCCTCGGCCTCACAAAGTGCTGGGATTACAGGCGTGAGCCACTGCGCCTGGCCGGCTTCATTTCTTCCTAACATCTTCACATAGACAGACAAAAGAGGGGACAAAGTCTTAACAAAAATGGTTTTGTAAACACAAACACTGACCAGTGACTATTTTAACAATATGATAAAAACAGTATTATAAAAGGAAAACAAAAAAGAGGTTAGATAAAAAGAATTACTGAGCTGGAAAATTGAGCTGAGAGACCCTTCTGGAATGCAGCATGAGAAAAGAAAAATATAAATTAATATATTTAAGAGATATGAAAAATACATTCTGAAGTTCCAACATCCCTCTAATGGATGTTCCAGAAGAAGAAAACAGAATAGAATTTTTTAAATGTTAAAGTTACAAAATAGAACAGCAACTAATATAATACTATGTTACCACCAATCAATACTGACAATTTATTGTTTTACTACATGTGCTTCAATTAATTTTTTTTTTTCATGAGACCGAGTCTCACTCTGTCACCCAGGCTGGAGTGCGGTAGCATGATCTCGGCTCACTGAAACCTCCACCTCCTGGGATCAAGCGATTCTCGTGCCTCAGCCTCCCATATAGCTGGGGTTACAGATGCACACCACCATGCCCAGCTAATTTTTGAGTTTTTAGTAGAGACAGGGCTTCACCATGTTGGCCAGGCTGGTCTCGAACTCCAGACCTCAGGTGATCCTCCTGCCTTGGCCTCCCAAAGTGCTGGGATTACAGGCATGAACCACTGTGCCCAGCTCAATTAATGTTTTAAAAGAAATAAAACATTACAAACAAGGCTAATGGTCTTACTGACCCCAATCTCCTCCCTTTCCCTTAGGGCAGCAACCACCATCATAAATTTGTATATACTTTTCCAATACAATACACAGTATAAGAATGTATATAATATATATGATGCCTTTGTATGTGGCTTTAAGTAATAACATACTGTATGTAGGGTTCTGCAACTAGCTATTTTCACTCAGCACTATAAGTTTTGGCTTTCTCCACATTTATAAACAGCCAGTTAATTTCTGCACACTGCTATAGAACATTTCACTGTACAACTAACTATACCACATTTTTATATAGTGCTTTATTTATAGATGGACTTATGCAGTAGTTCCAAATTTTTACCATCACGAAACAATGAAACAATATAATAATAGTACATATTGCCTTCTGCACATAGATGAAGGTTTCTCCAAGTGTATATCTAGAAAAATTACAAAATGATAGGATTTGCACATTTCCTATTTTACTAGATTCTGCCAAATTACTCTTCTATTTATACTTCCACGAGCAGTATACAGCTCTTCCTATTTTCCTTATCCTCACCAATACTTATTATTTTCAGACTTTTTAGCTTTTCCAATTTCATAGGTGAGAAATTATACCTCACTATAATTTTAATTTGCATGACCCTGATTTCTGCTAAGGCTGATTATCCTTCACGGTCTATTAGACATTTGGGACACTTTTTCTGTGAACTTCCTCTTTAACTCTTTTTTCTATTGCATTTATATAGTCTTTTCTCATACACAAGTTTTTAATTTTTATATAGTCAAATTTATCAACCTGACAAGCCATATATATATATAATGTGTATATATATATATAATGTATATATATATAATGTATATATATATAATGTGTATATATATATACACACACATTTTTTTTTTTTTTTGAGACAGAGTCTTGCTCTGTCACCCAGGCTGGAGTGCAGTGGCCCCATCTCAGATCACCACAAGCTCCGCCTCCCAGGTTCACGCCATTCTCTTGCTTCAGCCTCCCGAGTAGCTGAGACTACAGGCGCCCACCACCACGTCCAGCTAATTTTTTGTATTTTTAGTAAAGATGGGGTTTCACCGTGTTAGTCTCGATCTCCTGACCTCATGATCCATCCGCTTCAGCCTCCCAAAGTGCTGGGATTACAGGCGTGAGCCACCACGCCTGGCCCGAGTGATATAGTTTTTAAAGAATAGATGAATAGGCCAGGCGTGCTGGCTCAAGGCTGTGATCCCAACACTTTGGGAAGCCAAGAAAGGAGAATCCCTTGAGGCCAGAAGTTCAAGACAAGCCTGGGCAACACAGCAAGACCTCATTTCTACAAAAAAAAAACAAAACGCTGGGTGTGGTGGCTTGTGCCTGTAATCCCAGCTACTTGGGAGGCTGAGGTGGGAGGATTGCTTGAGCCTGGGAGGTTGAGGCTGCAGTGACCCATGATGGCGCCACTGCACTCCAGCCTGGGTGACAGAGTGAGACCCATTCTCAAAAAACAAAAAGAATAAATGAATATTTCTCAAACCCAAAGAAAAATGCGAGTCTTTAGAATTGAGAGGGTGCACTTGATGTTAAGCAGGATGAATGCAATAAACATCCATTGAGATGCAGTGTAGTGAAATTTCAGAATATGATTGAGAGTTTTTTGTGTTTGAGGCACAGGTTGTGCTTGTTTTTGCAGTGAGGCCCAGAAGAGAGACAGTGAGCTCTCTGGGCACTGGGAAAATCTAGCAAGGAAACCAGGAAGGTCTTGAGCATTCACAGGTCTTGAGCTGTCGATCGTGGCTGCTTTACAACTCACCAGGCTCCTTGAGACATTCCTGGAAACAGAATTCTGGAGACTCATTATTCGGAGCACGGATGGAAACATTTTGTTGTTACTGCTGTTTTGTTTTGTCTAACACAATAACTAGCAATGGAGAGGTTGCAAAGCATTGTTTACATATTTGGATGAATCATTAGAAACTGCTATTTTTGTAGAGTAAAAAATGGTTGAATGTTAGGGATTTCTAGGGTTGAACCTAATAGATAATTTTATTACATACTCTTAACCCTATGAGATACACATTATTACTATCAACTGTTTTACAGATGACCAGCTAGTAGGGCAGAGAGCTTAAGTCTGTCCATGGGGCCACATGACTTCTAAGAGGCAGAAGCCAGCCTGCCTGGTTCCATCTCCTGGCCTGATTCTTGGGTAGCACTGCCGCTGTCTGGAACAGAGAAAAAAACATGGCATGTTCTTCTCTCTCTCAGGATAGTATCCATCAGGGAGGTTATCTGACTTCTTTGTTTTTGTTTTTGAGACGGAGTTTTGCTCTGTTGCCCAGGCTGGAGTGCAATGGCGCGATCTTGGCTCACAACAACCTCCGCCTCCCGGGTTCAAGTGATTCTCCTGCCTCAGCCTCCTGAGTAGCTAGGATTACAGGCTCCCACTGCCATGGCTAATTTTTGTATTTTTAGTAGGGACAGGGTTTCACCATGTTGGCCAGGCTGGTCTTGAGCTCCTGACCTCAGGTGATCTGCCCGCCTCAGCCTCCCAAAGTGCTGGGATTACAGGTGTGAGCCACCACACCCGGCCCATCTGACTTCTAGGGAAATTAGGCTCAAGATAATCAGTGGTAAGAAGTGGCGTTTGCTAAGAGAACTTGACCTTGATATTCAGACAAACATCCTTCAAGGAATAATCTATGAGCTAGAGAAAGAGTAGTCTGTGAACCAAAGACCATCAGGTGACTGGGGCAGTGAAACAAAGAGCTATTGCTGTGCGTGTCCCAGCTGCCAAGCTGCTGAGCCTTAAGTAACCAGTGTGCTATTTCTTTGCACCATAATTATTCAGAATAGGACACCCTCCCCAGCCTGGATGCCAATTTCAGCAGGCCTGAGATTTTTCTGCTCATGCTTAGAATAGTCTGTGGTTGCTTTTAGTTGCAAACGCAGTCTCAAGCCAGAAATTGGAACTTTAATGTGAGGTATTCATCAAAACTCTGAGCTTATTTTTACCTTACATCCTTCTCTCTTCCCCCAGCTTGTGCCTGGCCAGCTGGGAACCTCCAGTGGACACAATGGAGAGGGCTTTGTCTTCTCTCTCGTTCCACTTGGCCTCCCCGAGCCAGTTACCATAGAATTGGCTTCAGACTGTCTTGGCAGGCAGATGTTAAATTTTGCCTCTTTTTCATGGAGTGATTTTACACCCCCTCCACTCAAGTTACCGGCTGAGTGCCGCCTCAGCCTTTCTCCCAAAATCCTCTTTTATCTATGGATGTGTCTCAAGTCCAATCTCATTTCGGGTGGTCATCTGAGACCCCATCCTCAGCCCATGGGCATTCAGTTCCAACCTTCTCCCGCTAGGATCCCTCTACATAGACTCAAGACAGGGAGTCCTTGCAGGCTCTCTCTGCCACAGGACCTACGTCTGTTCAGAAGAAACTCTCCTGCCTCCCTACCCCAGAAAAAACTCTGAGGGTGCAGGCTGGTCCCAGTGAGGTGGCAGCAGCCCCACCAGAGCAGCTGGTGAGCCCTCCTGTCACCTTCCAGATTTCCCAGGTGAAACTAGACCCCAGGCCACCCCGCTCCCCAGTTGTAGGGGTCTCATGTTAGGCTCTGTTTTTTCTTTTTCTTTTTTGAGACGGAGTCTCACTCTGTCATCCGGGCTGGAGTGCAGTGGCGCAATCTCAGCTCACTGCAACCTCCGCCTCCTGGGTTCAAGTGATTCTCCTGCCTCAGCCTCCCGAGTAGCTGGGATTACAGGTGCCTGCCACCATGCCCAGCTGATTTTTTTATTTTTAGTAGAGATGGGGTTTCACCATGTTGGCCAGGCTGGTCTAGAATTCCTGACCTCATGATCCGCCTGGCTTGGCCTCCCAAAGTGCTGGGATTACAGGCGTGTGCCACCGCACCTAGCTAATTTTTGTATTTTTAGTACCGATGGGGTTTCACCATGTTGGCCAGGCTGGTCTCGAACTCCTGACCTCATGATCTGCCCGGCTTGGCCTCCCAAAGTGCTAGGATTACAGGTGTGAGCCACCACACCTGGCCTCATGTTAGACTCTTAAAGAAGCTGCCCCACAGACACTCACCCTTACCAAGTGTGAGGTAAGGGAGCAGGAGCTCACCTGTCCCCAGGATGGGACTCACAGCACAGCTTTCTTCAAGGACGTCCGCCATACAACATCCTCCCATCACCTGTCTGTCTACATTTTCAGTGTCTCAAAGTGGGAAAGGGGTTTCAAAGTCTTGGATCAGATTTTTTGGCATTTCCATAGAAAATCTTCCATAAGGTGACTCGGGCTCTCACTTTGGATCTTCACATCTATGGTGCATATTAGTGTCTAGTGGAAATTTTAAGGCCCTATTATTCTATTTATATGCATTGACCTTTTTATCTTCATAAGCTCAGACAACATTTTCCATTTTTAAGATGAGAATAATTCATCTCTGAGGGCCCAGAGAGGTAAGGCCAAGGTCACCCAACTGGCCAGTGATGAAGCTGGGATTCCAACCAGGTCTATCTGGCATCCTCTGGGAGGTGCATGCTCAAGCCCAAGAATCTGAGGACACATAGAGAAGTGTGTCTCTCGCTTGAGGGCCCAGACCCTGGGTGACTATGAGAGGCTCCGTGCTACTTAGAGCTGATCTATGTCAGCTCCTATGGCTTGTCATTGCCCACTTCCCCACAGGACACGTTCTGGGACCTAGTTTCAGAGAGCGGGCTGGGAAGACGAGATCGATAATTCTGCCCTTCTGGCAAGAGCCCCATCTGGATGTGACTTTCAGCTCAAAAGAGTGCGCCAGGACGGCTGACTCACCTGGTCTAGCATCCAAGCCAAACACTGGGAGGAAAGGGCTCAGTTCAGCCAAGACTGTGACTGCAGAAGAACGGGGATCCTGCGCTGGGATCCCAGCCATGCCCTCGCCTTGGTGTTTTCTCAGTCTGTGTGGGCCTCCTTTTCTCCATAACTTCTGCGAGCTATGGTAGCAAGGCATGCCAGGGCTTCCACAGGTGGTCCAGTGCCACACAGGAAGGTGTTGAGAGGTGCGAGATGGAGCAACTGACTCAGCTGGTCCCTGCAAGAGGGGGAGGATGTGGCACTGGCCAGCTCCCAAGATGGGCTGCGTTTGGTCTCCAGGGAGGTCCAGTCTGGTGGGCATTTCCAACATAAGCGGTTGGGCAAGAAGCCAGGGTCCATCCACAATGGAATGTCCACCAAACATCCTGATGCGCAGCAAACACTGAATGAAATGGAAAAAGATTTACAAGATTTACAATACATTATTAAGATTTACAATACATTATTAAGATTTACAATACATTATTAAGTGAAGGGCCTGGACAGCAGGAGCCCATCTTCATCAAAGCAGTGATCTTGCTTCTGGAGAACAGGCCTGAAAGGTAAAGGCGCAGCCTGGGTGCTTGGCTCCATCGATTCCTGTGGGTTCTTCGAAGGGTCAAAGAGGGTCCCAAGGCTGACCCACAGGTATGGGGGCAGGACAAAGTCCAGCCCCTTCCCCTTCTTGCAGTCATAGCCACTCACCTCCATCTCTCCTATATCCTCTCTCAGGGACCTGCGGGCTGGTCTTCTACATGCTCTAAACACAAAGGGAGTCTTCATACCCCACACCATTTTCCTCAGACAACTGGGCCACTCACTGGGCACCCATCTGCTACATGCTCCCCTCAGTGATGCCAGGAGGCCCTACTCCCACCCCACCCCCAGCTTCTGGGTCTGTTTATTTTGACTCTTAACCTCTCCATCAGAAGGAAGGACTGACCTCTCTCTGTTATGCATATACACTTGCATATGGATTCTTAAAGAAAGTTCTGGAAAGAGGCCTGGCATGGTGGCTCGTGCCTGTAATCCCAGAACTTTGGGAAGCCAAGGCGGGTGGATCACCTGAGGTCAGCAGTTCGAGACCAGCCTGTCCAACATTGTGAAACCCCATCTCTACTAAAAATACAAAATTAGCCCGTGTGGTGGCACGTGCCTGTAATCCCAGCTACTCGGGAGTCTGAGACAGGAGAATCGCTTGAACTGGGGAGGTGGAGGCTTCAGTGAGCCAGGATCTTGCCACTGCACTCCAGCGTGGGTAAGACAGAGCAAGACTCTATCTCGGAAAAAAAAAAGTTCTGGAAAGAAACACAGCAAAATGTTAAGAGTGGTTGTGACAAGGGATTGATATTAAAATACTCTTGTTTTCTTTTATCACTACCTGTGTTTTCTACAATAAATGTGTTCCTTCTCTACGTTACCAAAGAAATCAAACCCATTGCCCTGAACTGCCTCAAATTCCTACTGCTTTCTCCCCCTCCCTCCCTGAAGTCCACAACCGTCTCTGAACCCACATCCATCCCTCCCTCTAGAATCAGAGCCTGAGGCAAACTCTCCATCTGTGTTCTCACTGCCTCTCACCGTGTCCTTGCTCTACCTGCTATGTAAAACTCATCTCCGAATACATCGCAGAGTTGTCAGGAGTAAGACTTGTG